>NC_000005.10:92231019-92534049 GCF_000001405.40 Homo sapiens
AAATCTCAAGAAAATTTTATCATGATTTACTCAACCTAAATGTTTCAGGAATACCCAAATAATTGCTCACTCTGCCAGGAATGCTCTGTCTACTCCTGCACTTTACCACCTCCATTTGCTGAGTTAAGTTTCATTCACTCTTCACATCTCAGCGCAAGTTTATCTGACTTCGACTTCAATGGTAAATGTGCTTAACACTCTATATGACATTAAATTATAGCACTTAAAATCATTGTAATTTATAACATTTATCAATTTATTTTATTATCTGTCTTTCTCACCAGACTGATAATCCCAAGGGATCATACCTTGGGCTCATTTCCTGTAACAATCAGAATGTCTCACATATAGTAGGTGTCCAATACATACTTGTTGGATGGATAAATGAATGAAAAGCAAATATAAAGATAGCTTGATTCCAAGAAAAGTAAAAAGTGATCGCTAAATATTTCGTAATATAACTAAATGAATTAAGTATGCTTATCATTTACCATGGTAACTACCTACTGACTTTTATTTTCATAGTAACTGTCTTTTTTTTTACTTTTATTTTAGGTTCAGGGGTACACATACAGGTTTGTTACATAGGTAAATTGCATGTCATAGGGGACTGGTGTACAGATTATTTTGTTACCTATGTAATAAGCATAGCACTCAATACATAGTTTTTTGATATTCACCCTTCTTTCACACTCACTCACATAAGCCCCAGTGTCTGTTGCTCTCTTCTTTGTGTGCATGAGTACCCAGTCTTTAGCTTGCACTTAGAAGTGAAAACATGTAATGTTTGGTTTTCTTTTCCTGCCTTAGTTTGCTAAAGATAATGGCCTCCAGCTCCATCCATGTTGCTGCAAAGGGCATGATCTCATTTTTTTTATGGCTGCATAGTATTCCATGATGTATATGTATCACATTTTCTTTATCCAATCCACCATTGATGGGCATCAAGGTTGATTCCATGCCTTTGCTTTGTGAACAGTACTGCAATGAATATACACATGCATCTCTCTGTATGGTATTAATAGAATGATATATATGCCTTTGAGTATATACCCAATAAAGGGATTGCTGGGTCAAATGGAAATTCTGTTGTGAGCTCTTTGAGAAATTGCCCCACTGCTTTCCACAATGGCTGAACTAATTTATATCCCCACTATCAGTGTATAAGCATTCCCTTCTCTCTGCAACCTTGCCAGCATCTGCTATTTTTTGACTTTTTAATAATACCATTCTGACTGGTGTAAGATGCTCTCTCATTATGGTTTCGATTTGCATTTCTCTTATGACTAGTGATGTTAAGCATTTTTTCATATGATTGTTGGCCACGGGTATGTCTTTCAGAGTCTGTTCATGCCCTTTGTCCAATTTTTAATAGGGTTGTTTTGTTTGTAAATATGTTTAAGTTCCTTATAGATTCCAGGTGTTAGACTGTTGTTGGATACATAGTTTGTGAATATTTTCCCCATTTTGTAGGTTGTCTGTTTACCCTGTTAATAGTTTCTTTTGCTGTGCAGAGCTCTTTAATTAAGTCCCATCTGTCCATTTTTTTCTTTGTTGCAATTGCTTTTAACACCTTCATCATGAAATCTTCGCCCATTCTTATTTCCAGAGTGATATTTCTTAGGCTGTCTTCCAGGGTTTCTACAGTTTTGTTTTTTTTTTTTTTTTTTTTTTTCTGAGACAAAGTTTCACTGTTATTGCCCAGGCTGGAGTACAATGGTGCAATCTTGGCACCCTGAAACCTCTGCCTCCTGGGTTCAAGTGATTCTCCTGCCTCAGCCTGCCAAGTAGCTGGGATTACAGGTGCATGCTACCACACCCAGGTAATTTTGTATTTTTAGTGGAGACAGAGTTTCTCCCTGTTGGTCAGGCTGGTCTTGAACTCCTGACCTCAGGTAATCCGCCCACCTCAGCCTCCCAAAGTGCTGGGATTACAGACGTGAGCCACCGCACCCGGCCAGGTTTCTATAGTTTTAGGGTTTACATTTAAGTTAAATTTAGTTTAGTATATGGTATAAGAAAGGGGTCCAATTTTATTTAGTCTTCTGCATATGGCAAGTCAGTTATCATAGAACAATTTATTGAATAGGGAGTACTTTCCCCATTGCTTATTTTTGTTAATTTTGTTGAAGATCAGATGGCTGGAGTTGTGCAGCATTATTTCTGGGCTCTCTATTTTGTTCCATTGGGTTATGTGTCTGTTTTTGTACCAGCGCCAAGCTGTTTTGGTTTCTGTAGCCTTGTAGTATAGTTTGAAGTCAGGCAGTGTGATGCCTCCAGCTTTGTTCTTTTTGCTAGAATTGCCTTGGCTATTCAGGCTCTTTTTTTATTCTATATGAGTTTTTTAATCATTTTTTCTAATTCTGTAAGAAATGTCATTCGTAGGCCAGGTGTGGTGGCTCATGCCTGTAATCTCAGCATTTTGGGAGGCCAAGGTGGGCAGATCACCTGAGGTCGGGAGTTCGAGACCAGCCTGACCAACATGGAGAAACCTCATCTCTACTAAGAATACAAAATTGGCCAGGCATGGTGGTGCATGCCTGTAATCCCAGCTATTCAGGAGGCTGAGGCAGGAGAATTGCTTGAACCCAGGAGATGGAGGTTGCGGTAAGGTGAGATCAAACCATTGTACTCCAGTCTGGGCAAAAGGAGTGCAACTCTATCTCAAAAAAAAAAAGAAAGAAAAAGAAATTTCATTCGTGGTTTATAAGAATAGCATTGAACCTGTTAATTGCTTTAGGCACTGGGTACATGCTCACAATATTGGTTCTTCCTGCCCATGAGAATGAAATATTTTTCCATGTGCTGTGTCATCTCTGATTTCTTTGAGTGGTGTTTTGCAATTCTTATTCTAGAGATTTTTCACTTCCCAGGTTAGCTGTATCTGTAGGTATTCGATTCTTTCTGAGTCTATTGTGAATGGGATTGTGTTCTTGGTTTGACTCTAAGCTTGGTTGTCATTGTTGTACAGGAATACTAATCATTTTAGTACATTAATTTTGTATCCTGAAACTTGCTGAATTTGTTTATCAGATCAAGGAACTTTAGAGCACAGACTATGGGGTTTGCTAGTTATAGAATAATATTGACTGCAAGCAGAGATAGTTTTACTTCCTATTTAAATGCCTTTTACTTCTTTCTCTTGCCTGATTGCTCTAGCCAGGACTTCTAGTAGTGGTGATAGAGGGCATCCTTGTCTTGTTCTGGTTTTCAAGGGGAATGCTTCCAGCTCTTGTCCATTCAGTATGAAGTTGGCTGCAGGTTTGTCATAAATGGCTCTTATTATTTTGAAGTACACTCCTTTATCATCTAGTCTGTTGAGGGTTTTAACATGAAAGAATGCTGAATTTTATCGAAAGCCTTTTCTGCGTCTATTGATATGATCACATGGTTTTTTTATTCAAACTCTGTTTATGTAATAAATCACATATATTGATTTGCATATGTTGAACCTACTTTGCATCCTAGGGATAAAAGCTGCTTGATCATGTTAGATTAACTTTTTGATGTGCTGCTGGACTTGGTTTGCTAGTATTTTGTTGAGAATTTTTGAATCTAAGTTCATCAAGAATATTGGCATTGTTTCCTTTTTGTGTTGTGTTTCTGCCAGGTTTTAGTATCAGGATAATCCTGGCCTCATAGAATGAGTTGGGATGAAGACTCTCCTCCTTAATTTTTTTTAGAATAGTTTCGGCAGGAATGTTACCATATCTTCTTTTTACATCTAGTAGAATTTGGTGGTGAAATCATCTGGTACTGTGCTTTTTCATGTTGGTAGGCTTTTTATTACTGATTCAATTTTAGAACTTTTTATTGTTTTATTCAGAGATTTAATTTCTTCCTGGTTCAATCTGGGGAGGTTGTATGTTTCCAAGAATGTAACCATTTCTTCTAGATTTTCTAGCTTGCATGCATAGAGGTGTTGATCGTGTCTCTGAGGGTTTGCGTAATTTGGGGGGGTTGGTGATAATATCTCTTTTGTTATTTCTGAGTGTTTTCATTCGTATCTTTTTTCTTTTTTCTTTATTACTCTAGGTACTATTTTATCTATCTTATTTATTCTTTCAGATAACAAACTCATGTATTCATTGATCTTTTATCATTTTTCATGTCTCAATTTCCTTCAGTTCAGCTCTGATTTGATTATTTCTTCTCTTCTACTAGCTAGGATTGGCATTGATTTGTTCTTGTTTCTCTGGTTGCTCTAGGTGTGATAGGTTGTTGATTTGAGACCTTTCTAGCTTTGAGATGTGGGCATTGAGTGCTGTAAATTTTCCTCTTGTTTTAGCTGTGTCCCAGGGATATTGGTATGTCATAACCTCATTCTTTTTACGTTCAAATAATTTCTTGATTTGTGTCTCAATTTCAGTGTTTATCCAAAAGTCACTCAGGAGTCCTTCAGGTTGTTTAATTTCCAGTAATTATTCAATTTGATTTTCTTAGTATTTTTTTCTATTTTTATTGGACTGTGATCCAAGAGTGTCATTGATATGATTTCATTTTATGTAACTTTCTGGGGATTGCTTCATGTCTGATTGTATGGTCAATTTTAGAATATGTGCCATATGCAGATGAGAAGAATATATATTCTGTTATTTTTGGATGGAGAGTTCTGTAGATGTATATTAGTTCTGTTTGCTCAAGGGTCAAGTTTAGGTCCTGAATATCATGAGATTTCTGTCTCGATTATCTGTTTAGTATTGTCAGTTGGGTGTTGAAGTCTCCCACTATTATTGTGTGGGAATCTAAATCTCTTCATAGGTCTCTAAGAATTTGCTTTATGAATCTGGGTGCTCCTGTATTGGGGGCCTTCACCACTATGTAATTCCTTTCTTTGTCTTTTCCGATCTTTGTTAATTTAAACTTTATTTTGTTTGTGTGGTTGCTTCATAGTGTCAATGGTCTAAGTACTTAAGTTTGTTTCTGTAGTGCCCAGTAGCAGTCTTTCTCTCCATATTTAACATTACCTTCAAAGCCTCTTTTTTTTTTCTTTTCTTTTTTTGATACAGAGTCTCACTCTGTTGCTCAGGCTGGAGTGCAGTGGTGCCATCTTGGCTCACTGCAACCTCCACCTCCTGGGTTCAAGCAATTCTCCCTGCCTTAGCCTCCCAAGTAGATGGGATTACAGACACCTGCCATCACTCCCGGCTAATTTTTGTATTTTAGTAGAGACAGGTTTTCACCATGTTGGCCAGGTTGGTCTCAAACTCCTGACCTCAGGTGATCCACCTGCCTAGGCCTCCCAAAGTGCTGGGATTACAGGCGTGAGCCACCGCCCCCAGCCCAGAGCCTCTTATAAAGCAAGTCTGGTGGTAATAAATTTCCTTAACAATGTGTTTGCTTATCTGAAAAGGATCTCATTTCTCCTTCCTTCTGAGCTTAGTTTTGCTGGACATAAAATTTTTCTTTGGAATTTCTTTTCTTTAAGAATGCTAAATATTGGCCCCGAATCTCTTCGGGCTTGTAGGGTTTCTGCTGAAAGGTCCACTGTTAGCCTGATGGAGCTCCCTTTGTAGATAACCTGGCTTTTCGCTGTAGCTGCTTTTAACATTTTTTTCTTTCCTTTTGACATTGGAAAATATGCTGATTATGTGTCTTGGGGATGGTCTTCTTGTGTAGTAGCTCACAGGGCCTTTCTGCATCTCCCAAATTTAATGTTGGCCTTTTTACATAGGTTGGAGAAATTTTAATGGACAATATTCTGAAATATTTTTTCCAAGTTGCTTTCTTTCTCTCCCTGTCTTTCAGAGATGCAATGAGTCATAGATTTGATCTTTTAGATAATCCCATATTTCTTGCAGTTTTTGTTCATTCTTCTTTAATCTTTGTTAGTTATTTTTGTTTGACTAAGTTATTTCAGAGAACTGGTTTTCAGACTCTGAGATTCTTTCCTCAGCTTGGTTCATACTACTGTTAATACTTGTGATTGTATTCTGAAATTCTTGATGTGAGTTTTTCAGCACTATCATACCAGTTTGGTTGTTTCTTAAAATGGCCATCTCCTGGATTATTTTATTGTATTTCTTAGAATCCTTTGATTAGGTTTTGACCACTCCAAATCTTGATAATCTTCATTCTTATCCATATTCTGAATTCTATTTCTGTCATTTCAATCATTTCAGCCTGGTTAAGAATAATTGCTAGGGAACTTAGTGCAGTCATTTGTAGGTAAGAAGACACTTTGGCTTTTTAAATTGCCAGTGTTCTTGCACTGGTTCTTTCTCATCTGTGTGGACTTATGTTCCTTCAGTCTTTGGAGTTGCTGTACTTTGCAATTTTTTCTTTTATCTTCTTTGATACCTTTCGGTATTGATTGTGGTATAAGGTGGTTTCAGTCGACTGGCTTTGTTTCAGGGGCCAAGGTTCAGCTCAGCAATCCTCAACTGCCCTACTCTAACTCCAGGGGATTCGTGTCAGGCCCTTGGGTTTGTTCTCTGCTTCCTAACCTTAAGATTAGGCACTGGAAGGGCTGAGGTGTTCCTAGGCTGCTGGCCATAGCACGTGGATGGATAGTACCAGCCAAAGCACTTTGTCAGAGCAGGGCCAGTGAGATCTGTGCTTTTCCATATATGCCAGCAACAGCAACAGCAGAGTAGGGTGCACACTTGTTGGCTGTGGTGGGAAACTTGCTGGAGTCAAGCTGTTCACCTCCATGCATGTATTTGCAGTGGTGGTGGTGGTGATGGCTTTGGGTGGGGAGTTGTGCTTCAGGAGTCCATGTGTGTATTTGCACTGATGGCGGTGTCAGTGCAGAGGCAGGATGCTGGCAGGCACAGGGCTCCTGGCCTCTATGTGTGCATTAATGCCAGCAGCAGTGGTTGTGTGTGGTAGGGGTCAGGGTCACTGGCATCTGTGTGTATGTTCATGCCAGTGGTGGTGTCAACACAGGGGTGGGATGCTGGCTGGCATGGTGCTAACTCTGTGTTTTTGTTCTGTAAAACTCTTGGCAGGTAGTTTAAGCTGAGAATATATTCATCGCTGGACAGATGAGAAAACTGAGAGCTAAAATTACTGGGATGACTTGTAAACCAGTTATCAAATTAGTGACTGGATGACTTATGCTAACAAAATGAAAATCCCTTTGCTGTTTCCTAATGACAAGTTTGTACAAGATCTTAGACTTTAACATTTACGTATGACTAATGGCTACTTACCAATAACTACTAAATAAGTGATTTCAGAGTACTAGTATTCACAATGCTAAACAAAACCATCAATTCAGTAAACATGTTCATAATTTTAATTTAGAATTTGGGCAAGAAATCTCACTACTATACAATGCTTGAGATCACAGTAGAGCTCTTACTGCACATTTGTATTTTTAGATATTGGAATTTTTATAACTTTTGTTGAGAATTTTTTGTTATCAGTATATCACCAGGACTGACTATATTGTGGTTTTCAACAACTTCTAATCTTGCAAAATGAAAATAATTGCGGATTTATCTTCATTGTCATCCAATTCATTTATTTAATTATTGAACCAATAATATGTAGTAATTTTCTTATGTAAAATTCCCTTAACTGGAGCTATGTTTTAAAACCTTGTGTATTAATTGCAACTAATGAATTATTTTTAACTGTTCAACCTGTCATTCAGTAGGTCTAGAACTTGGACTTGTAACCTAATGATTCCCAATTGATTCTGCTTTATATGGTCCAAGGACAGTACTTTGAGAAATAATGATAAAAAGTATGGTGCATATGCAGGTCAAATGATAATCATCATAAACCTGTTCCTAAAGCAGATAATAATGACCATATCCCCAGCATCAGATTGCTTGTCTTTATCAGCTCAAATTCTTTTATCACCTTAATTGGAAAGTAATATTTTTATTTTGCTGCTTAATGCAGGTAAAAACTTTTGACAATTACTTAACCGTCATAACGTAACTCATATGTAAATATTAATTAGAATAGCCTCAAAATTGTATAATAATATGATTATTCTCATTCACTTGTACTAAGATCTTTAAATTCCTGCATTGGGCCAAGAGGGTTTACCCATATGGGCAAAATTAATTCAAGAGAGAAAAATCACATTAAAATTGATAAGACTTGCAGACATTTTTATTCAAGTATACACAATTATGCATAATTGTATTAAGTAGACAATCAATATATCAGCATTTTGTTGAAATTCAGTGGCTTACAATTGTAAACCTTTAAATTTAACTAGTTAATTAGACTTCTAATGGTACTGTCAGCATAACTTGAAAAAGCCCCATACATATAGAAGGGTAAAGTTTGTAGTAGCTTCATATAGGATAGTTATTAAATAAGAAGAATAAAAATCTTTCCCAAAATATAAATGTAGAAAGATAAATCTTAAGAAACCCTTGTTAAATAATAAGCATATTTAAAATATGTAAAATTTTATCAGTACTTACATAAGTAGAAATGGTTCTGAAATTTATTGGAGCAATTGGAAAACACTTGTTGAAATTAACAGTAACAGAAATTATAAATTTGAAGGAATTTTGAGTTTTTAATTCTCCAAAAGAGTAAACCTGGAATGAATACAGGCTTTATAACCTCATGTTTTTCCTGCCATAAATTAATACCAGTTTTTCCAGGTTTAAAACAAGAAATACAAAATGAAAAACTTTAGCATTTCCGAGGAAATGAAAATGAATTTATAACTTAATCTGTAACTCAAGATAACAAAGACTTTATAGTAAGTTCCAAAGGTTACTTCCAATTAGCTCTGTAAAATCTGTAAGCTTTGTTTAATTTCATCTGATAGCTTTGAAGAGTAATTTCTGAGTTCAGGCATAGTCTTTTCTATGTCCTAATGCATCTCAATTAACCAAATATTAATACATAGAGCATTATTTCCTAGAGTGTGTTATGCATACATATGTTAGTAGGATCCATGGTAAAGCAATCGTGAGTGGGACAAAGTTAAGTTTCTTTACATAGAACTTCCAGGACTTCTAATAGCTTATGTGTATTGACAATCAAAGACAGGGAAGGGCAGAGTAGAGTAGGAGAGCAGGGGAGGTAGAAAGAGAGAGACAGAGATAATTATTGGGAATCCAAACTAATTTGAACATGCAGTTTGGAAATTGCAAAAGTATATTGTAATATTTCTTTTGAAATAAAAATCACATTAAACTTTACTAACTTCTTTTCTGCCAGATTTGTAAATCACCCAGCTGAGTTCACATCTATTTCTCTCTAAACATTCTAAAGAACTTGCACCTTAATGAGGCTCTATATTCCTCAGAGATCCAAAACCTTTAAATATTATTTATTGATATTTTCTGCCTCAGAAAGCCTTCTGTAGCTTTTTTACAATTTTCCAAAAGTGCAGGTGGCCAAATCATTTCTTTTGGAAGTATGCAGATTGCTGCTCCTCAAAGCCTGTTCACTCAATGAGGCTAAATACATATCCATGCAAGATGAGGAAGATATTGAGTCAGAAAAATCTTGAAGGACCAAAGGACCGAAATAAACATGTTTTCAACTCTTCTGACATCTGGTACTCAACATGAAATAGTAATATTGAAAAATTGCTAAAAGATTCTCATTTCAAAAGTTTGATTCAAATAATTATATATTAGTATCTATCAGTACCATTGATGTAGTGATATACAGAAGACTGTTCACTAGTGTGTTCATTTTGACAAAGCTATTTTTGAAATAATACTTTATTATAGTACAATTTAGACATGATGATTCACATAAAAATTGTTTCTGTTTATAACAAGAGGACGATTTCCCTTCAGTCCTGAATTAGGGAATATAGGGAGCATTTTCTATGGCTGTGAGCTGAAGCATTTCACAATGCTCAATACTATGAAGCTCTATCTTATTCAGAATTGTTAACAGAGTCAAAATTATTGTATAATAGAAAACATCTTCTTTATCCCTTTTTATAATAATTCATTCACCACTTGTAATTATAATTGTAATATTTATTATCTACTATATATTAGACACTGTCCAAGATGGCAAAGAACAAAATAGCATTTATTGAGTTTATATTTTATTGGAAAAATATGGACAGTAAAAAAGAATAAATAATGTCTGCTATTCTATATTTTATGCAAATAGTTATGTGGCTACCTTACATGGGGTGATCAGTAAAAGGTAATAGCTTGGAGAAATAGTTCAATGTGTGGCCAGGCATGGTAGCTTATGCCTGTAATCCCAGCTACTTGGGAGGCTGAGGCAGGAGAATCTCTTGAACCTGGAAGGTGGAGGTTGCAATGAGCCGAGATTGCACCACTGCACTCCAGCCTGGGTGAGAGAATGAGACCCTGTCTCAAAAAAAAAAAAAAAAAAAAATGAATAGTTCAATATGACTGGAGAAATGGACGGGAAAGAGATAGAAGTTGAGGAAAAGCCAAATAAGTAGCAGATAGGTCATTTAAATCAGATTGAGGAATTTGTAAACCACTGAAATATTAAGCAGTGAGTGATGATTCTGTGCAAAATTTACTGTATGTGTACAACTATCAGCAAGGAATTATGAAGCTATAGCAATAGGCAAAGATGATGGTAGAATTCACTAGCCCTGTGGCATTGGAGTTGAATGAAGTGGATTGTTGGAGGATATGTTCTGGAAATAGAATCCACAGATACTGGCTGTTAGATTGCCTATTGCATGGGAAAATGAAATAAAATAAAATATATAATAGCACAAAATCAATAGGACGATGTAAACACATTATAATTGATTTAATGTATTCTCTAAGTTGTTTTAGCCTTATTCTGGTAGATATCGGTATGTTTTGAGACATATAACCAAAATTACTATCCAGTTTTTCTAACACCTGATGGAGAACAGAGCAAACGCAATTCATGAGAAGACAGACCAGGCTTTAACAAGTCAGATGATGGTAATAAAGCCAAAACAAAAACAACAAAAACCATGATAACTTAGTATGATTCTCTGAATTAAAATGTCTTCACGTACTTATTTCATGTTCATATGGGAAAGTTCTAGTTACCAAATGGTACAGAAAGAATAAAAGTAGCAGAATTTATCTTTAATACTTAGATCAAAATTCAAAATAAAAACAACAATCCACTGTCTCCCAAACTGTATTCTTTAAAACATCAATTTTATGAGATAATTATCAATATATTTGTACAAACAATTACATATCTATAAAAGATTGTGTATGTGTATGTGTGTGTGTATACACAGATGGTCTCTGACTTATGATGATTTGACTTACCATTTTTGAACTAGATGATGGTGTGGAAGCATACACATTCAATAGAAACCTTTTTGAATTTTAAATTTTGATCTATTCCTGGGCTAGAGATATGCAGTATGACACTGTCTGATGATGCTAGGTGGTGGCAGTGAGCTGTAGTTCCCAGTCAGCCATGCAATCAGGAGGGTAAACAACCAGTACTGTACATTGCACTGTGTTGCCAGATAACTTGGCTCAACTGAAGACTACTGTAAGTGTTTTGAACAAGTTTAAAGTAGGCTAGGCTAAGCTATGATGTATGGTAGATTAGGTGTATTAAGTACATTTTCAGCTTACAATGTTTTCAACTTATGATGGCTTTGTTAAGATGTAACTCCATAGTCAGTCAAGAAGCATCTGTTTATCTATCTATCTGTCTATCTATCTATCTATCTATGAAATAAGAAGTAATATTAACTTTTAAAATGTAAAAGTTATTTTGGAAAAGCTGATATGCTGCTCAAAGTAGACAATTTATAATCATCATTGTATTATGGAGTAGCAAAATCATATTATCCTTTTATCTCCCAGGGATAATAGATCTTTGGGGAAACCATATTACTGGTAAGTAAATTAACTTTCCTCAAAAATAGAAGGGCTGTCTTCTTTAGGAGTTACTTTATACAATTAGGTATTTAAAACCACCAAGAGGTGGGAAATGAGGTCACTCTGAATTATTACTCAGGATTTTAGACCTCTATGGGATTAAAAAAACAAGTAATAGTATGTCATGAAAATTGAGATTTAAAACACCTTAAGAAGTAGAAGTACATAGCAGTTATATCAATGTTAGATACTAAGACATTGTCTTGAACTAAGACAATAAAAAGGAACAAATAATATCAGCTACTCGTAAATTCTATGCAAATAGATTATGTGACCACTTTATGCTGAGTGATCAGTAAAAGACAACCTTTGGGTTGAAATTTGAATCATGATAAATCAGCTATACAAAGGTAAGTGGAGAAAAAAAGGCGAAGGATTAAAGTTTTGGTCCATAGAATTTATGACAAAGCCCATTAAGAGTTGCTGCTAGAGCTTTGGGTTATTTTAATCATTCTAGCAATGTTGTTTGTTTTTAGTAAACATTCCTTACACTGAAAATCTGAAAGATTTCCCCTCAATGATTTGCCTTTGTAGATGTAAACTTAACTGTAATCTTGGGTGATGGTTAATTTTAGGTGTCAAGAGCAATAAGTTGCTGATGGAATTCAGAAAAGAATCATATCTTAAAATCAAAGCTAACTTTAGTTAACTTTACTTGATCTTAAGGGAATCTTCTGAGAATCAAAGTAGCCTGACTGAATAAAGAAAAGTCTATGTTTGCTATTACTGAGTTTGGAGAGAGGCATCCACCGTTCCCTGGTTTAACTCATGGTCTTTGTTGCTGGGTGAATTGGTAATTAATTGCATTGCCCTGTTTGCTAAGTGAGACATTTCATTTAGTGTAGAAATTATTGCTCATCACTCAGAGGTCCTAATGGCCTTGATGTAAAGTAGAAATTAACGACTGGCCAATTGCTTGTACAGTCACACACACAGAATAACGTTTTGTCAATGACAGGCTGCATATACAATGGTGGTCCCACATTATATGTGGTAGACACCTAGTTCTCCAGTAAAATAAGGACTGTTTGCTCTGATTTAGATACTGTAATATAAGTTGGAGATGTGATACAGTATTTGACCTATTTACCTGTAGTACAGTCCTCACAACAATCTGGAAAATAAGTTATTATTGTTATTATTTCATGTTTATTATTTTACATCAAAGGAAATTTGACCCACCTAAATCAAATGTCTTCTTCAAAATCCCTAACCTGGTAAGTGGCAGGGCTTGAAATTGTTCCTGCAGCTGTCTGTCTTCAAAACCCATGCTTTCTTCCTGGTAATTTTTAAGGATCTTTTGGAGCAAATGATATCCCAGTTTCAATAATTCACTGAGGTAGGAATGGAAAGACATTGTCTTAGTGAAGTTTGGTGCCTAAACAGCAAATCCCTATGTGGGATTTATCACAGCAGTTTCACATACAAGGAAGGGTTGATGTGCATAAGCCTGTTTAAAGTCTTCAAGATCAGAAACAAGGTGGAGCATGGGTTCATAATTGTTTTAACTATCCAGTTTTGTGCACCTCGTTTATACAATATGAAAAATTCAAGCGTACATAAATTAGAGTAAGTGACAAACTTGGTGGGCGAATTGATCCATAATGTGCACTCTTGGAGAAAGACTTTCATTGCCTTGAGTCGCTGATAATACCAACAACAGAAATGCCATGAAAATAGAAATTTGCAGTTCACCAGTGATTGAGAGGTGGTGATGTAGTTGATTAGCTCGTGGTGTTTGTGGGTTGAAGCTAATCCTTATCTGTTTACCTTCCAAAAATTTTTGTGAGGAAATTTGCTTTGGTCTTGCCAGGAAAAAAAAAACTAAAAAAGGTTAGAGTAAAAGATAATCATTTACCTCAGAAAGTGTAGGTGAAGGTGATGATGCAGAACAATGATGATGCCTTCTCTGTATTTAAGGCAAAGTCAACATTTATCAGAGCTCTATAAGAATCTTGCAGCAGTTGGCATTGATGAAGTTTTTACTTTTGGAAAAATTAATTGTAGGCTTTAACAATGTACATTTACTAATGTACCTTTGTGAACATATAATATTTTAATTCTGTAGTGACTCAGATATACCAAATTTGACTCTCATATTCCCTTCTAGACCTAGAGTAGGCTATTTGAAACAGAAGCATAGAAACTACACACACACACACACACACACACACACACACACACTTACACACATATCTTAAGGATTTAGGGGCAGGTTCTTCATAACAGCATTACAGCAGAATCTGAAAGGCCGCTCTGTCCCATACTACGAATAACTTACTGAATCATGTCTTTCTGTTCTCTGTTCAATCAGCGTTAGAAATAATCACTTACAGCCTTTTAGATGAGGTAACCTAAGCATTGGGGAAAATAATACATGTAATTTTTTCCCTTTTTTAAGCAGGGACATAGGTATGTGATACTCCCTAAAATAAATCCAAGCCGTTTACCAGTGATGTCCCCTATTTCCCATGGGAAATTCTGGATATTATTAGTTCCTTCCTTCCTCCTTCTCTCATATTTTTTCCTTAATAAGATTATCAAAATGGAAGCCTATGTACTAGAAATAAAATTCCAAGTGTACTTTGTAAAGTACAAAGAGATGTACTGCATATACAATGGTGGTCCCACACCATGTGTGGTAGACACGTAGTTCTCTGGTAATAAGAACTATTTGGTCTGATTTAGACACTGTAATATCAAAGGGAGATGTGATACAGTATTTGACCTACTTTGCAAAGTACTTCTCTTTGCAACTTCCTAATTTCCTAACAAATAAGAATATTAAGTTTTTGAGCTGGATATTAATATAACAAAGATGAAATAAATATTTGGACAAAATAAGTACATAGACAAGTCACAGGGTGAGTTTTTATGGAACTGAATATTGAATAGCTTTCCTTGAATTATTTTTTCTCATTCTCTGATAAAATGAGCATTTTAAAGATGTTTCCTAAAAATCATGAGAATGTTTTATTTTTGGAAGTTATCTACATTGTTGGTAATAATTGCAGCTTCGTATATGTAGATATATATTTAATTTAAGATGGAAAGGGTGTGGAAAACTTATGTTTCTCATGTGATATATCACAGAATGTATGTATGTCATAGAACGAGAGCTAATGTTTTGCCATCAATAAAGTCTAGAATAGAGATGGGATTTAAAAAAAAAACAGCTAAGTGGTGATTGTCATTCACCTTAAACCTTAGTTTCATATATGCTAAATAGAACTACAAAATCTGTTGTTATGTCTAATATATTTTATATGTTGATAACAGTATTATGTTGAAAGGAAGAAAATTGTTCAATCATTAAATATTTTTGCTTAAAGATTTTTAAATACTGTCTCTCTATATATGTATGTATATATTTATATACACACACACTTTATATACTCTAGGCTAACTGTAGATAAAACCCTACAATATAGTATCAACTACAGAAATTCTAAGTAGCAAAAACCAATAACTTAGTGGCTTAATACAAATGTAAACCGCTTTGTTTTTCTTCAAACTAGGTTAATGTATTGTTGACATTTTTATGTAACTACTTTAAAGAAATGATCAAAGGTATGATTGTTTCATTTTCATCCAATGTTATTTTTTACTTTAAAAATTTTAATTACATGTACAACTTTTATTGAGTAAAGATAACTAGAAACATCACTGTATGACTCATGAATATTATGTGGGATCCTGAACCATGGCTGTGCTGTATCAATTTAGTCAAAAAGCACCTAAGCACATAGTGCCTTTTTGTACCATAAAAAGTCGAAAAGCTTTTCTCCCCCAGTTAATGTTGCAACTTGTAGTCCAATCAATACTTAGTTAACAGTTCACAGAAATGGTGGTAAACTTCATTCCACATCAGTATTTTAGATAATAAAATGTTAAATCATTTATTGAAATGTAACAAGATTTCCATGCAGATTTAATGTGACTAGATAGTATTTTATATTGTTTTTATTAGCAATATAATAAATGGCAAGTAATAAATTCAGATGTAGTGCAGACAGACTCAGGTTGTCAGAAGTACTGGGTGGCTTTTTTCTGGTTATTGTATCACAAAGCCAGTAGGTGAAATGCATGGAACAAGTTATTTTTGTTTCTTCTAACAAATGACAAATATTTTAGGATACTATTTTATAGTTCTTTTCTATGTAATCTCATAACCACATATATAGAACACATTTCCCAGGATATTCGATTATGGAATAATATAAATATGAATTGCTCTTAATTTCATAGAAACAAAATCTTTTCTAATATCCTCTTATCCACTATGTAACTATAGCCACCTTGAAGGGAGAAACACCACATTATGCATTCTCTTATTTTTGATGATACCAAGAAAAAATGTTAAATATTTATACTTATTGCTGGTATATATTTGGTACTCTGTAAATTCTTGCTGAAAGAATGTGAGGCAGAGAGCTGCTAAGAGTAATAGTGTCAGACTTGAACTAGAATTCTGGAGTTGCCATTTACTGGTTGTATGTTTGAGCAAGTTACAGTAGTCCCGCCTCATCTGTACATTTGCTTTCCATGGTTTCAGTTACCCACAGTCCAAAAATATATGAAAAATTCCAGAAGTAAACATTTGAAGTTGCATGAAAAAATCTTGTGTCATTCCTCTTGATCCCACTCAGGATGTCAATCATCCATTCATCCAGTGTATCCACTCCATATGTTCTACCCACCTGTTACTTAGTAGCCATCTTGATTATGAGATTTAAAAAAAAAAACTCAGAGTGTGTATAATAGGGTTTCGTATTATCTGCAGTTTCAGGCATACACTGGGATAACCCTTGTGGATAAGAGGGTACCATCCTACTTAAAACATCTAGCTCTTAGTGCCCTTGTTTATAAAATGGGGCAAATTTTTAAAATATTTAATGACATAATATACTTAAATATGTTGTAGCATTTTATCCTAAGATGGAAAAATAGTCTTATTTGAATTTGTTTCCTTCTTAGACATCTTAAAATGAGAACAATAACAACAACAACCAGAAAATTGAAAGGAACAAATCTTGACTTCTAGGTCATTATATGTTTCCTAAATTATCTAGAAGAAATTTGAACCGATATGTAAAAATTACTTAGAAATGTATCAAAGCACAAAAGCTGCAAAAAAAACCCAGCAATATAATCATATACATTTTCCCCTCTTATGGAATGAATCTCTTAGAAAGAGATGTTTACCTTTAGGGCTAATGTTTGAGTATTCTTTTAAGATAATTTAGGTTAATAAACTAAAATAGTTGATCTAGGCCCTGCTGCCTCAGAGTAAAAGCTTTTTCTCTTTCTGGCAATTGAATGTCATAGAATAATGACTCAACTTACAAGAACATACCCCAATCAGAACCTACAACTATCCTCATTAGCTAGTGTTTAGCCTTCCATTGCTCATTCTTAAATACTATATTAGTTTCCTAGGACTCCTGCAATAGATCATCAAAACCTGGGTGGCTTGAAACAGCAGAAATTTATTTTGTCATAGTTCTAGAGACCAGAAGTTCAAAATCAAGATATCAGCAGAGAAGCAGGGCCAAAATGGCTGATTAGAAGCAGCTGGTGAGTGCCACTCCACAGAGAGAAGAAAAAGTGGTGAGTAAATACTAAATCTTCGACTGAAAAATCTAGGAGGACACATTGGAATTCATCAAAGAAACAACTCAACCCATGGATAATGGAGAGTAGCGAGACAGAACGACTGCCCACTCAAGAATGGCATGGAGCCAAGGGAGGCTTCCCCATAGCAGGGAAATGGTGAGAAACTGAGAGTCCCTGGGGACCCATAATTCTTCCACAGACCTTTGCAACCCTGGACTCATGACATCCCCGGACTCAGGACATCCCCTCATAAGCCCACCCCCAGTGGGGCCTTCATACCGTCTTGCAGAGCTTTGTGTTATCTGGAAAGAGCCACTGCTCAGGCACATATGGAGTCCCTGGAGCCTTAAATCCCTGGGCATCCCAGCATTAGTGGATGGAGCTCTGGCAATGGGGGAGGTCAGGCTCCCTCACATGACCCGAGGGACTTCAGGCCTTGCCTCTGCAAGTTGCAGGATAAGACCGACTGATCTGGAACTCCAGCCACCTGCCCACTCCATGGCCAGTCCCCTCAGGCCAGTAACGGCTCTGCACTTCCTTGGAATGGAGCCCCTACAGAGAGAGGCAAGATGCCATATTTGTTGTCTTACAGCCCTCGTGGCTGTTGTCTTCAGACACTAGAGGGTGAATGGTGACTCGGGTTGGGCACAGTTCCCCAACACAGCATAGCCACCCCACAGAAAAGCAGACTGTTTTTTTTTTCAGGTGGGTTTCCAATCCCACTTCTCTTCACTGGGCAAGACCTCCTGACTCAAGACTCCACCCACTTCCCCCACTAAGGCTCTCAGGTGGTAGCAGTTCTGTGCTTCCTTGGGATGGAGTTCCCACAGGGAGAGGCGAGCTCACATTGTTGCTATCTCAGCTCTTGTTGCTGTTGCCTACAGGCTACGGAGGGTGTGAAGTGACTAGGGACTCGCATGGATCCCCAGCACAACACAGCCCCACAGGAAAACCAGCCAGACTATTTTCCACATGGGTGTCTGATCCTGCTTCTCCTTACTAGGCAGTATCTCCTGACCTGGGACTCCATCACATTTACCCTGCCCTCACCCAAACATTTCATTCCATTGGAGGCAGCTCTACAGTTCTCTAAGGAGGAAATCCCAGAGACAACCCACAACCCTTCCATCATTCCAGCTGCAGTGGTACCACCCTAACCACTCTTAAGTTAGGGAAGAAACAAAGGGCCTAGCCAGTATGCTGGCACCTCCAGCACTCAACAGTCACCATATGTAGAGGAATCAAGTCCTTCTTTCCTGTGAGCTTCCAACCCCTACTCCACCAGGCAGGACCCCTGGCTCAGGACCACAGATCAGCCACCCCATCCCTAACTGAGCCCACTGGTAGTGGGTCTGAGTTTCCCTAGGGAAAGTCTCCCAGAGGCAACAGACAGCCCCTCTGCTACTCCCACAGCAGCAGTTCTGCCCCTGCTGCCCTCAGACTGGGGAAGAAAGAAAGAGCCTGAGGTCTTCACTCACACCTCTAGCATGCCACAGTAACTACATGGAGTGAACTCATTCTCTCCTCTCTGTAAGCCCTCAGCCCCTGCTACACAAAAAGCAGAGCCCCAAGCTAAGGCCAACAGTGCTGGCACCCCACCCCATGATTGAACATTCCCAGCTGAAGTGTCTGCATGTTTCTCTGACATGGAACTCCCAGAAGCAACTGAAAATCCCTCTCCCACTGCCACTGCAGTGGTACTGCCCTTGCTGCACTTGGACTGGGGAAGGAGAAAAGACCCTGAGTGCTTTAAACACAACTCCAGCAAGTTGGAGGTGCTCTAAGGAGAAGAGATCAGCCTGTCTCCCCTGTGACCCAGCTGTCCCTCTTCTCATTACTAGGCAGGATCCCTCTGTAGGGAAAGGTCACCTACAAAGGAAATCTCATCACGTTAACAGTGGACCTTTCAACAGAAACCCTATTAGCCAGAAGAGATTGGCAGCCTATATTCAGCATTCTTGAAGAAAAGAAATTCCAACCAATAATTTTATATCCAGCAAAACTAAGCTTTATAAGTGAAGGAAAAATCAGATCCTTTTTAGACAAGCAAGTGCTAATGGAATTTGTAACCACCCGACTGTCTTACAAAAGGTTATAAAGGGAATCCAAAATACGGAAAAGAAAGACTGTTATTGAAAACTACAAAAGCACACTTAAGTACATAGACCACTGACACTATAGAGCAACCACACAAATAAGTCTGCATTATAATCACCTAACAACATGATAACAGAATCAAATCTGCACATATCACTACTAACCTAGAATGTAAATGGGCTAAATGCCCCAATTAAAAGCACAGAGTGGCAAGCTGGACTAAGAAGCAAGACCAAGTGTTATGCTCTCTTCAAGAGATCTACGTCATATGCAATGACACATATAGGCTCGAAATAAAAGGCTGGAGAAAAATCTACCAAGCAAATGAAATAAAAGCAAAAAGCAGGGGTTGCTATCCTAATTTTAGATAGATGGTAAACCAACAAAGATAAAAGAAAGGCAAAGAAGTACACACATAATGGTAAAAGCTTCAATTCACCAAGAAGACATATATATACACATACATATATACACGTATATATATACATATATATACATATATATGTATATATATACGTGTATATATGTATGTATATATGTATATATGTATGTATATATGTATATATGTATATATACGTGTATATATGTATGTATATATGTATATATACGTGTATATATGTATGTATATATGTATATATACATATGTATGTATACGTATATATGTATATATACACATATACATATGTATGTGTATATATACACATACATATGTATATGTATGTATATATGTATATATGTATATGTGTATATATATACATATACACACATATACATATATATGTATATATATACACACATATACATATATATGTATATATATACACACACATATATACATATATATGTATATATATACACACACATATATACATATATATGTATATATATACACACACATATATACATATATATGTATATATATACACACACATATATACATATATATGTATATATATACACACACATATATACATATATATGTATATATATACACACACCCAACACAGGAGCACCTAGATTCATAAAGCAGGTTCTTACAAATCTATAAATCTATGAAGAAACTTAGATTCCCACACAATAATAGTGGGAGACTTCAACACATAACTAACAGTTTTAGATCATCGATTCAGAAATCTCACAAGATATTCAAGACCTAAACTCAATGCTAGACCAAAAGGACCTAATAGACATCTACAGAACTCCCCATGCATATCCACAGAATATACACTCTTCTTATAGCCACATGGCACATACTCTAAAATCAACCACATGTTTGGATACAAAACAATCTTCAGCAAATTCTCCCCCCCCCCAAAAAAAATAAATTATACCAATCACACTCTCAGAGACCAGAGAGCAATAAAAATAGAAATCAACAATAAGATAAGAGCTCAAAACCACACAATTAAATGAAAATTAAACGGCCTGCTCCTGAATGAGCCTTGGGTAAGTTATGAAATTAAGGCAGAAATCAAGAAGCTATTTGAAACTAATGAGACAAAGATGCAACATACCAGAATCTCTGGGAAACAGCTAAGAGAGTGTTAAAAGGTAAGTTTATAGTACTAAATGCCTACATTGAAAAGTTGGAACGATCTCAAATTGACAACTTAAAATGACACCTAGAGGAGCTAGAGAAACAAGAACAAACAAATGCCAAAGCTGGCAGAAAATAAGAAATAACCAAAATCAGAGCTGCACTGAAGGAAATTGAGACATGAAAAACCATATAAAAGATCAATAAATTCAGGAGTTTGTTATTTGAAAAAATTAATAAGATAGATACATGACTAGCTAGACTAATAAAGAAAAAAAGAGAAGATCCAAATAAACACAATTAGAAATGACAAAGAAGACATTATCCCTGATCTCAGAGAAATACAAAAAATCCCAGAGACTACTATGAAAATATCTGTGCACACAAACTATAATAGAAAATCTAGAAGAAAGGATAAATTTCTGGACACATACAACCTCTCAAGACCGAACCAGGAAGAAACTGAATCCCTGAGCAGAACAGTAATGGTTCTAAAATTGAATCAGAAATAAAAAGCCTACCACGAAAAAAAGACCAGGATCAACAGATTCACAGCCGAATTCTACCAGATGTACAAAGAATGGTACAAAAGTACCATTTTTACTGAAACTATTCCAAAAATTTGAGCAGGAGGGACTCCTCCGCCCAACTTACGGTATGAGGCCAGCATCATCCTGATACCAATATGTGGCAGAGACACACACAAATGGGAAACTTCAGGCTGATAAACAGATGCAAAAATCAACAAAATACAAGCAAACCAAATCCAGCAGCACATCAAAATCAATCATATTCAAGTAGGCTTTATCCCTGAGATGCAAGGTTGGTTCAACATACACAAATTAATAAATGTGATTCATCACATAAACAGGACTAAAAACACAAACGGCACAATTATCTTAATAGATGCATATAAGTCTTTTGATAAAATTTAACACTCCTTTATGTTAAAAACCCTCAACAAACTAGGCAATGAAGGAACATACTTCAAAATAAGAAGAGCCACTTATGACTAACCAATAGCCAACATTTTACTGAATGGGAAAAAGCTGGAAACATTCCCTTTGAAACGAGAAACAAGGCAAGGTTGCCTTCTGTCACCATCCTGTGAAATCTTGTACTGGAAGTCCTGGCCAGAGCAATCAGGCAACAGAAAGAAATAAAAGTCATCCAAATATGAAGCAAGAAAGTCAAACTATCCCTGGTTGGAAATGACATGATTCTATACCTAGAAAATCCCTTGTCTGCCAAAAGCTTCTTGATCTGATAAACAATTTCAGCAAAGTTTCAGGATACAAAATCAATGTACTAAAAATAGTAGCATTCTTATACAACAACAACGTGAAAACTGAAAGCCAAATCAAGAATGCAATCCCATTCATAATTGCCACAAAAAGAATAAAATACTTAGAAATACAGCTAATCAGTGAGATAAAAGATCTCTACAATGAGAATTTAAAAACCCTGCTCAAAGAAATCAGAGCTGACACAAACAAATAGAAAAGCATTCCATGCTCTGGGATAGGAAGAATCAATATTGTTAAAATGCCTCTACTACCCAAAGCAATTTATAGATTCAATGCTGTTCTTATTAAACTACCAATGATTTTCATTATAGAATTACAAAAAATAATTTATAAATTCACATGGAACAACAGCAAAAAAAAAAAAAAAAAAAAAAAAAAAAAAAGGCCCAAACAGCCAAGGCAATCCTAGCAAAAAGAACAAAGCTAGAGGCATCATATTTCCTGACTTCAAACTCTACTACTAAGCTACAGTAATCAAAATACATGGTACTGGTACAAAACCGACATATAGACTAATGAAACAGAATAGACAGCCTAGAAATAATGCCGCATGCCTCCAACCATCTGTTCTTTGGGGGAAAACAATGGGGGAAAGGAAACCCTATTTAGCAAGTGGTGCTAGGGTAACTGACTAGCCATATGCAGGTTGAAACTGGATCTTTTGCTATACCATATGCAAATTTAACTCAAGATGTATTAAAGACTTAAATGTAAAACCCAAAACTATAAAAACTCTGAAAGATAACCTAGAAAATACCATTCTGGACATGGGACCTGGCAAAGATTTCATGACAAAGATGCCAAAAGCAATTGCAACAAAAACAAAAATTAATAAATGGGACCTAGTTAAAATGAAGTGCTTCTGCACAGCAAAAGAAACTATCAATAAATAGAAAATATACAGAACGGGAAAAGATACTTTTCAAACTATGCAGCCAACAATGTTCTAATATCCAGCATCTCTAAGGAACTTAAATTTACAAGCAAAAACAACCACATTAAAAGTTGCCTAAATTTAAGATAAGAACAGACATTTTTAAAAAAGAGACATACACACAGCAAACAAGCATATGAAAAAATGTTCAACATCACTAATTATTAGAGAAATGCAAATTAAAGCCACAAGCTGCCGTCTCATACCAGTCAGTAATGCTGTTTTTAAAAAGTCAAAAAATAACATGTTGGCGAGCTTGCAGAGAATAGACAACGCTTATAAACTGCTGTTGGGAAGGTAAATTAGCTCAGTCATGTGGAAAATAGTGTGGTGATTTCTCAGAGAACTCAAAACAGAATCACCAATCAACCCAGCAATCCCATTATTGGGTATATAATCAAAGGCATATACAGTTTCACCATACAAACACAGGAACATGTATACATTCATTGCAGCACTATTCACAATAGCAAAGATATGGAATCAAACTAGTTAGTGATCAATGGTAGACTGAATAAAGAAAATGTGGTATATATACATCGTGGGATACTATGCAGCCATAAAAAAGAATGAGATAATGTCCTTTGCATTGGCAGTAATGTGAATGGAGCTGGAGAACATTATCCTTAGCAAACTAATGCAGATGCAGCAAACCAAATACTGCGTATTCACACTTATAAGTGGGAGCTAAACATGAGAAGACGTGGACACAAGGAAAACAGTACACATTCGGGCCTATTTGAAGGAAGAGGATGAGAGGAGGAAGACGATCAGAAAAAGTACCTGTTAGGTACTATGCTTATTGCCTGGGTGATGAAATAATCTATATACCAGACCCCTGTGATATGCAGTTTACCCATTTAACAAACCTGCACATGTACCCTTGAACCTAAAATAAAAGTTATAATTAAAAAAAAAAAGATATCATCAGGTCTGTTCTTACTCCAAAGGCTCTAGGGGTGAATTTATTACTGCATTTTCCGGTTTCCTGTGGCTCCCAGTTTTCCTTGACTTCCAGCTGCATAACTGCACTATCTGCCTCTATCTTCTTATGTCCTTCTTCTCCTCTATGTGTTTCAAATCTCCTTCTCATTTCTCCTGTAAGAACACCAGTCATTAAATATTTTATTATTATTATTATTATTATTATAATTCAAGTTCTGGGATACATGTTCAGAATGTGCAGGTTTGTTACATAGGTATACATGTGCCATGGTGGTTTGCTGCACCCACCAACTGGTCATCTACATCAGGTATTTCTCATAATGCTATCCCTCCACTAGCCCCCCACCCCCTGACAGGCCCCAGTGTGTGATGTTCCCTTCCCTGTGTTCTCATTGTTCAACTCCCACTTATAAGTGAGAACATGCTGTGTTTGGTTTTCTGTTCCTGTGTTAGTTTGCTGAGAATGATGGTTTACAGCTTCATCCCTGTCCCTGCAGAGGACATGAACTCATCCTTTTTCATGGCTGCATAGTATTCCATGGTGTATATGTGCATTTTTTTTTTTATCCAGTCTATCATTGATGGGCAGTTGGGTTGGTTCCAAGTATTTACCATTGTGAACAGTGCATTAGATTTATGGCCCATTCAGATAATCCCAGAGGATTATCTTGAAATTCTTTTTTTTTAATTTTATTATTTTATTTTATTATTATTATACTTTAAGTTTTAGGGTACATGTGCACAACGTGCAGGTTTGTTACATGTGTATACATGTGCCATGTTGGTGTGCTGCACCCATTAACTCGTCATTTAGCATTAGGTATATCTCCTATCTTGAAATTCTTAATTACATCTGCTAATATCTTTTCTCCAAATAAGGCTATATTCACAGGTTATGGGTGAACATATCTTTTGGGGAGTGTATCAACCTCGTAAATATATGAAATGATAGACAAATAACGTCTAACATTTGAGGAAGACTTTTTTTTTTTTTGAGACGGAGTCTCGCTCTGTTGCCTAGGCTGGAGTGCAGTGGCGCGATCTCGGCTCACTACAAGCTCCGCCTCCCGGGTTCACGGAGAAAGGCATTTTTAATTAAGGGAAAAGACCCACTGAACGAACAGAAAGAGGAATTCTGGTTTCAGTAAACATCAAATGTAGCTTATGTTTGATACATCCACCTATAGATAACAATTATGAACTGTAAATAAAATATGCATGAACAATTCAAAGGTACTGAAAGTGACTGAAAATAGGCAGAAATTGAATGGCTCTTTTCTTGGAAGGAAACAACATTGGATAAAATTTATCTTTTTCTATATGTGTGTGCCCTTCCTCCAAGGGTATTACCCAGTTAAATTGATGTAAGGTAGGTTAAATTCAGTCAGAAAGCTCACTAATACTCACTCTTACTTGCCTAAGAAATTAGCAGACAGAATTTGGTTTTGCCACAACGACTGGAAAGTGAGAGAAAAAATGAAGGAGAGAACAGGGTGTTAAGAGTGGGGGCTCAAATTTCATACTTAAGTTCTGTTCTAATCCTTGGCTAACACCTAATCTACACATGTGTAGAAAAAATCTAATAGTCCTGGTTGAAAAACATCTACAGGTAAAACAAAAACAACTAGAAAAGACTTTAGCTTATCTAAAGCAGGGGCAACAGAGTTTTAAGTTTGAGTCTAACCAATTGAATTGCCAGATAGAATAAAAAACCAAACCCACCAATGAAACAAATAAAAAAAAACAAACGAAACCAAGCATTCTTTAGGGATATATAATATAATCAAGATCTCCTATGATATATTGTCAAAATGTCCAGTATCCAGTTAGAAACTCCTAGTCCTATGAAGAAACAAGAAAATGTGATATGCATTCATGAGAAAACTCAGTGAAGAGAAATGTGACCCTAAGAATGCTTATACACTGCTGGTGGGAATGTAAATTAGTTCAGCCCCTATGGAAAGCAGTTTGGAGATTTCTCAAAGAACTTAAAACACAACTACCATTTAGCTTAGAATCCCATTATGGGGGAAGTACCCAAAGCAATATAAATCATTCTACCATGAAGACATATGCGCATCTGTGTTCATCACAGCATTGTTCACAACAGCATAGACGTGGAATCAACCTAAATGCCGATCGACAATAGATTGGGTAAAGAAAATGTGGTACATATATTCCATGGGATACTAAACAGCCACAGAAAAGAACTAAATCATGTCCTTTGCAGCATACGGATGGAGCTGGAGGCTGCTATCCTAAGTAAACACAAGAACAGAAACCCAAATTCCCTATGTTCTCACTTAAAAGTGGGAGCTTAACACTGAGAATACAATGACACAAACAAGAGAACAATAGACACTGGGGCCTACCTGAAGGTGGAGGGTAGAAGGAGGGTGAGAATCAGCTACTGTGCTTATTACCTGGGCAATGAAATAACAAGTATGCCAAACCCCTGCAACACGCAATTTACCCTTGTAACAAACCCACAGATGTATGCCCGAACCTAAAATAAAAGTTGAAAAGAAGGAGAAAAAAAAAAAAAAAGAAACTGACTTTGAAGTCTATCCAGATGTTGGAATTAGTAAACAGATTGTAGTTATAAAGTATAACTGGTCTTTCTGACAGATTAAATAATTATCTGTAAAGAAATGTCTGAAGAATCTATAAAACTGCTGTTATGACTAACCAATGAATGAAGCAAGACCTAAAATCAATACACATACATTGATTACGTATTAGAAGAAAACAAATAGGAGATAAAACAGAAAAATAATTTTTATGGCCATATCTCTTTTATTTTTTACTTGAGTATTCAAATACCATCATGCCCTATTAGCAAAAGTGGCAGTTGGGTTATCCTCAACTCTAACTGGTCCAGCCATCTCCCTGGAGCTTACACAAGGCGAGGCAAGAATGTTCAGACATGTCTGTCCACACCAAGGTGAAAGAGAAGTGGTTTGATGAATCCAGGGCTGCATGTCTTTTGCCTGGTGTCACTGTAGGGGACTAGTTCTGTCCGGTCCTTCCCATCCTCACCTCTTCACCTGTACTCTGAGGTTGCAAGTCTTTCAGATGATACTCTCATTCTCAGAAATTCTTCCCTTCATTCTTTTCACTGTGTCCAGAAGGGATACTAGTATGAATGATGCATTGTGTCAGAACCAGCCCTACCTCACACATTTTAAGGTTTTGATCCCATGTCATCAGCCTAGGTACCTGTACCTTGAGGTTGATTTTATTTTGGGAACCTCATAGGCCTTCCTTGCACTGATTTTTTTTTGTTTAAGTTCTGGGATACATCTGCAGAATGTGCAGGTTTGTTACATAGGTATACACGTGTCATGGTGGTTTGCTGCACCTATTAACCCATCATCTAGGTTTTAGGCCCCTAATGTGTTAGGTATTTGTCCTAATGTTCTCCCTCCCCTTGCCTCCAGCCCCCGACAGGCCCCGTGGTGTGATGTTCCCCTGCCTGTGTCCATGTGTTCTTATTGTTCAACTCCGACTTATGAGTGAAAGCATGTGGTGTTTGGTTTTCTGATCCTGTGTTAGTTTGCTGAGAATGATGGCTTCCAGCTTCATCCATGTCCCTGCAAAGGATCTGGTTCTAGATCTTTGAGGAATCGCCACACTGTCTTCCACAATGGTTGAACTAATTTACACTCCAACCAACAGTGTAAAAGCATTCCTATTTCTCCACATCCTCTCCAGCATGTGTTGTTTCCTGACTTTTTAATGATCAGCATTCTAACTGTGGTAAGATGGTATCTCATTGTGGTTTTGATTTGCATTTCTGTAATGACCAGTGATGATGAGCTTTCTTTCATATGTTTGTTGGCCACATAAATGTCTTCTTTTGAGAAGTGTCTGTCTATATCTTTTGCCCACTTTTTGATGGGGTTGTTTGAATCAATGTGCAAAAATCACAAGCATCCCTATACACCAATAATAGACAAGCAGAGAGCCAAATCATAAGTGAACTCCCATTTACAACTGCTACAAAGAGAATAAAATACCTAGGAATATAACTTACAAGAGATATGAAGGACCTCTTCAAGGAGAGCTACAAACCACTGCTCAATGAAAAAAGAGAGGACACAAATGGAAAAACATTCCATGCTCATGGACAGGAAGAATCAATATCGTGAAAATGGCCATACTGCTCAAGGCAATTTATAGATTCAATGCTATCCCCATCAAGCTACCAATGACTTTCTTCACAGAATTAGAAAACTACTTTAAATTTTGTATGAAACCAAAAAATAGCCCATATAACCAAGACAATCCTAAGCAGAAAGAACAAAGCTGGAAGCATCATGCTACCTGACTTCAAACTATACTAGAAGGCTACAGTAACCAAAACAGCATGCTACTGGTTCTGAAACAGATATATAGACCAATTGAACAGAACAGAGGTCTCAGAAATAATGCCACACATCTACAACCATCTGATCTTCTACAAACCTGACAAAAACAAGCAATGGGTAAAGGATTCCCTATTTAATAAATGGTGTTGGGAAAACTGGCTAGCCATATGCAGAAAACTGAAACTGGACCCCTTCCTTACACCTTATACAACAATTAACTCAGAATGGATTACAGACTTAAACGTAAGACCTAAAACCATCAAAACCCTGCAAGAAAACCTAGGCAATACCATTCAGGACATAGGCATGGGCAAAGACTTCATGACTAAAACACCAAAAGCAATGGCAACAAAAGCCAAAATTGACAAATGAGATCTAATTAAATTAAAGGGCTTCTGCACAGCAAAAGAAACTATCATCAGAGTGAAAAGGCAACCTATAGAATGGTAGAAAATTTTTGCAATCTATCCATCTGACAAAGGGCTAATATCCAGAATCTACAAGGAAACAAGAAAAACAAAACAAAACTTTTTTTTTTTTTTTTTTTTTTTTGAGGTGAGGTTTTGCTCTTGTCACCCAGGCTGGAGTGCGATGGCGCAATCTCTGCTCACTGCAACCTCTGCCTCCTGGGTTCAAGCGATTCTCCCACCTCAGCCTCCTGAGTAGCTAAAATTACAGGTGTGTACCACCATGCCTGGCTAATTTTTGTACTATTAGTACAGATGGGGTTTCACCATGTTGGCCAGGCTGGTCTCGAACTCCAGACCTCAGGTGATCCACCCACCTTGGCGTCCCAAAGTTCTGGGATTACAAATGTCAGCCACTGCGCCTGGCTGACAGTTTCTTAAAAACTACTACTGAGTATCTACCCAAAGGAAAAGAAGACATTATGACTTATATTGCATACACACATACATTTATACAGCACAATTCGTAATTGCATATAGAACCAACCTAAGTGCCCACTGACCAACAAGTGGATAAAGAAAATGTGGTCTATGTACAACATGGAATGCTACTCAGCCATAAAAAGGTATGAAATAATGTCTTTTGTAGAAACTCGGATGGAGCTGGAGGCCATTCTAAGTGAAGTAACCTAGGAGTGGAAAACCAAACATCAAATGTTCTCACTTATAAGTGGGAGCTAAGCTGTGAGAACGCAAAGACATACAGATTGATGTAATGGACTCTGGGGACTCATTGCAGGGGAGGTTGGCAGGGGTGTGAGGGATAAGAGACCACATATTGGGTACAGTGTATGCTGTTCAAGAGATGGGTGCACTAAATCTCAAAATTCACCACTATAGAATTCATTTATATAATAAAAAAACCACGTGTACCCTAAATGCTATTGAAATAAAAACAAATAATATATTTTAAAAAAATCTCTATGTAGTTACAATATTAAAAAACTGAACATACATTTACCATATAAGCAGACATTTATTCCCTTGCTCATTTGACCCAAAAGAATGAAAACTTATCTTCATAAAAACCTGTACAGGCTTGTTCTAAAAAGTGTTATTTATTGTAGCTAAAAACTAGAAACAAAACAGATTTCCCTTAATAGGTGAATGGCTAAATAAACTGTGGCACATCCATATCATGGGTTACTACTTAGCAATAAGAAATAATGGACCATTGTTACATGCAACAATGCGTGTGTAGGGATCTCAACGATATGCTGAATGAAAAATCCGGTCTCAAGGGGACACATACTATATGATTCCATTTGAATAACGTTCTCAAAATGACAAAATTCTAAAACAGATTAGCAGTTGTTAGGGGGTAGAGATGGTTGAGGCAGAGTTTGGTGGGTGTGAATGTAAAGGGTTAGCAAGAGAGAGAGAGAGATCTTTGTGTTTATGGAATAATCCCGTTCCTTGATTGCAATGGTGGTTACAAAAGCCTAAACATATGATAAAACAACATAGAACTATATGCACACATTGTATTAACATCAAATTCCTGGTTTGGATATTGCCCTATAATTATGTAAAGTGTATCCACTGGAGGAAATTAGGTGATGGGTACGCAGAGCCTCTTTGTACTATCTGCAACTTCCAGTAAAACTAGAATTATTTCAAAATAAATTAAATGTTTTATAAAATAAAAGAGAAAACTGATAACTTGGTAAGATTGTTTGTAGTTGAAGGTATAATAGCTGATGGGCAGGGAAAAAACATACATTAAAAATATATAATTACTTTCATTTTTGATTTCCTCAGTCTAGAAAAACAACCAATCATCTTAACTATTGGTGTTATTATTATGATTGTTAGTTTAGCTATATACTTCTTTAAAAAGTTAAATTTGAAAGGGAGAGGTGATGCTACCTCAAACTCTCTCAATGCATTCTGCTAATTTGGACTGAGAACTTTTTCAAATTACAATTTAACATGGCTGATATTTATGCTCCTTGTTTCCTGACCAATGAAGTGTCCTGATGTCGGTCACTAAATAATTGCTTCATTTAGCCTTAGTTCAATATGTTATAATTTGTAATGTGTTTTGTGAATAAAATGCTATTTATTTATGTGCTTTGAAGAGTAAGAGAAAAAGAGGATTAAATTATTTTACCATATGATTAGCAAATTTTAAAGTCAGGATTCATAGGCTGTTGGAAAAGTACAATATGCTAACTCTATTTTGGGAAATCCTAAGAATATTTTAAATTTATTAATATACACTTGTTTACAATTATCAATATTTTTATCATCTAAACATGGCTTATATGTAGAATCTCCCGCAAATGAGTAATCTTATTAAACTGGTCCCTGATCAGTTTATGATATTTTTAATGTTAATGTATATGGATTTCTGACAACCTAACTAACTAAATAATAAAAAGGCAGACTAAGGAACTTAGCCACAAGAATAATTCAAAAGAATTTGGTAAAATTTATCATATTTTCAGAAAAGATTTTACACCAATATGTTCAATTATCACACTATTTAAGCTTATGCATTTCTTTTAACTGTTTTATCATTCACAGATATCACTGCTGAATATCAGTTCCTTATATTGTCAGGATTCATGACTAAATGATATTATGTTCTCTTCCAAGTGGGCTAATTTTCTACGATTGTGGCTCTGGAAGCAAAGTACTAGAAATTGGTATCTATTAAGTTTTATTGACTACTCACAAAAGCTTATAATAACCAGCTGGATCCTGTAAACTGCATGGTGGGTGTTCAACTATATTTACCAACAACTCTATAAACAATATGTATACTTTCATTTTAGGTTAACTAGTAAAAATCATTGTCTAAAAACTACAATCTTATGCTCTGTGCCAAAGTTAAAAGAGGCACGGGAAACCCAGGAAACCGTCTACCCTTACTTTTGGATCTTTCAAAAAATACATATTTGTTTGGAAGCCCAGATCCTTGAAATGTATTTATATTTTTATAAATTTTCAGATATATATAATAAATATTTTTATGCTTATATTTTTCTGCCAATATAAATGAAGACTTTCTACCTTCCTAGAGAGGCTATGTTATTATAATGACAATGGAAGAATTCTTCTTTTTTAAGTTGTGCAGGCATTTGCATAAGAATCAGTAGAAAATAAGTTCCAAAAAGACAAACGCTTTGTTAAAATAAAATTTTCAAAATGATAAAATCATGACTGTCATCAAATATTAAATGCATATGTTTTAAATATTTTATTTAACTCATTAATTAATGAAGGAACAAGTAAGCTACAATCTGTTGGATTAAGAATTTGACTTAGATTTATATTCTCTATTGGACAATGTTCATTTGCATTGTCATAAACAGAAATCATTTGCATTATCAGTTTTGTAGACTTTAATTTTTATACCATATGTCAAAGTCAATTAAAATACACACCTCTATAGAATCAGATAATTTTCAGGGATACCAGTAGACAGTGTATTTCATTAAAAAGAAAACCAGTAATATCTTCAGTTCTTCGACTGACAACCTTGTCTGGTTTTTTAACTGCTTATATTCCTAGGACAAGAAATTGTGCTTTGCTCTTCATGTGTGATTAATACATATTAGTCAATGAATAAATGAAATAATTTAAAGAATCTGGATAACATCATTTCAAAATAAGCTAAAAATAAACCCAAATAAGCAAAAAAAAAAGATTTCTACTTTTAGAATTATAATGTAAGAATCATTTTAACCAATCAAATATAACTTCTTTCATATCAGATATTGTAAAGACATAATTATAAATATGTTAGAACAAGGAAGGCAAAAGTTTGACTCATTTAAAAATTGTTTTATTATCTAAACACTTTACCTACAGAAATCCCTTCAAGCCCATGGTTTATATTATGCTATCAATGATCTTCCTGGTCAGAAATCATCCATCTTTGCCCATCTGCCACTTTTCTTTTTTTTGAGTTTCAGAACCATTGAATTCAAATGCAATCACAATCTTTCAACAGGTTTTTTTTTTTCCAGCAAATTCAAACAATTTTACATTGAACTTTCACTTCTTACATAGAGAAATCAAAATAACAAAGAGAGAAGAGCAAAGGGAAAAGAAGACAAAGTATAGGGAAAGAGCAGTGGGAGAAATAAAGGCTTACTAATGAAGGCTTAATCAGAAAGGGTCTCTGTACTGCTCCCCCAGAATTCGCTTTTGAAGGTAACTAAATGTTTTGAAGGCTAAATAACCTTTTTTGTCATTATAGTTCAGTTGCAGTTCTTTCATTATGCATTTGAAAAAGCCAGTTTTATGTGGATTGTAGGAACTGCAAATTGGCCACATAAACGAATACCTACAAAACACACATTTAACTAAGAGAGTGTCCAAGGGTATGTGATTCCAGTGGAGACATGCAGAGAGGGTTTTGAACTTCAGTTTTAAAATTCATCTGTGCAGATAATTTTTTTTAAATAAGCAAAGAAAATGCTTTGTCATTGGCACGGGTATTTTAATTTTTAGGATATTTTCTGTTGTCTCAATCTATGTTTGGAAAAGTGTAGTATATTTTTAAAGGAAAAAATCTCCCTTTAAATTCCCCCAAATCTCATATGTTTGAACAAAATTTTCTTAAAGAAATATAATATACTAACTTCTATAAAATGCTCAATCATAACTATTATTCAATGAGTGTCTTATATGGTACCTTGTGGAGAGGGGGATTTAAATACTCCAATTAATTAATGCAAATTGATTAATAAGAGTTGCTGAGTAAAAATGGTAGATATAATTCGTGAAAAGTAAGTCTTTTCTTAATACAGATAAATTCTTGAATATGGTATATTTACATGTGGGAGATGGAAGTAGTAACTTTTCTCATCAAGATTATGTCATTTCTTATTTGTAAAATTTTAGAAACAATGTTTACATTTTGATCATCAGGAATGCTTAGACTTCCCAATGAAACATTAAACAACCTTGTGAGGAAATAAAAGAATAAAAAAGAAGTCTTTTACACACTGATTTTCGTAAGTGCATCTTTCTGTAGAATCGATAGATGCATAAAGAAATAGAAGACAACTGTATTCCATTACAGGAGTATAAAAAGATTGCCCTCTCCAACTGCAATATAGCAATATTTATTTAGGCATTTTTGCAGGGGTTTAGGCATTAATAAAATTCTTTAGGAATTTTGACTTAATCAGTGTCTTGTGTGAATGAATGTATTGCATTCTACTACTTTTTTGAATCATAATTACAATTTGAACTTTGAATTGCTAAATGTAGAAAACTAAATCTGGGAAAAAATAATAAATATTTTATTCAAACTCTTCAGGACACTTGGAGTATTACCACATATTTTTAAAATTATTTTTCAAATACTCATATGGTTTAAGGAATATACTGAAATGACAGCATTGTATTCACATAATGTTTGTAATGAATTATTTGAACTCTATTAAACAAAATATTAACATGAATATCTACTACCCCATTTGCACATTTTTAATTACAAAACTATGTTAATCTCCCATTAAAGAAAAAAAACATGTTATGTATTTTCTCTGGTGGATTTGTTGTGATTTGGAGACATTTTCCTGGACTCTTGACCATTTGGGTGTGGTATAGGTATATAGATGGATGGGAAGGAAGGAAGGAAGGAAGGAAGGAAGGAAGGAAGGAAGGAAGGAAGGAAAGAAGGAAGGAAGGGAGGGAGGGATGGAGGGTCTAAAAAAGAGAAGTACTAACTTTTAACTAAAGCGAAGGAGTAAATGTTTGTTTTTTATACATTTGCCAGCAACAAAATGTTTTCAGGACAAACTTATCTATAATCAGACTTTGTTCGACATGTGTGTTTTACAGTATATTAAAGTTGAGGCAAAGATTCTTAATCCTGAAATATAAAAATTGTAAGATGCATTTATATAGATGCAAACTCCTTTGCCTATGTCTGACTTTATGGGGATGCTGCATACTTATCCACTGTATTAACCACTACATAAGCACTAGGCTCCAAATTAAAGAGGCAACAGATGACATAAATATTACCGTATATTTATATTGCTGAATGAACAAATTAGTCATCTCTCCACTAATACTTGTTCCTTCTGTAAAATTCCACATCTTGGGTACTGCTTCCATGTCTTTTAGGCAAGACTACAATAGTCTTTGGGGGTAATTTATTTTTTTAACATTCTGACTTTAACCTTATCCTGGCCAAGTCCTCTAGATTTTAATTCTTAACAGCCTCAGAGTTTCATCTGTTTCAACATCACATGCTTCTCCATAATTTAATCACCACTAACTTTAGTTCTGAATTTATCATTTGTCGCTTGAACATTAGCAGTGATTTCATTAATCATCTCCCCATGTCCAATCTCAGCATATCCTTAAACCTGCTAACATATTTAGATCTGATCATGTTACTCTTCTGTCCCCAAACTCAGAGGAGTCTATCGGTATCCCAAGAAAAAATCAGCTTGATACACTTTTAAAGCTGTTCTAAGAGCTGATACTTTTCCACCTTTCTAGGCTTTCTCTCACTACCCCCATTCACTGTATGTCATATTCTTGGAAAATCGGATGGTTCTAAAAATAAATTGGAAATTATTCCATGTACCACAGCTTCAAAAAAAGTACTATCTCTTTTATTTAATTTTGTAGGCCCAACATTAAGCAATCTAGTAATTGTAGAACCTAATTAATTAATAAATGGATAAATATACTGTTTAAGGGAAGAAATCTTTCTCTAGGAACCAAACACCTATTCAAATAAACAATATATATTCAGATATGCTAGACAATGTTCTTAATAAAGTGAGTTCTGTTCTAAATATCATGAGTCTTGAGATGAGTAATAAAGCATAGATAACATTCACACTGGTTAAGGTAATGCATTTCATAACAGCTTTGGGTAATTCTTTCTTAATAAAAAATTAAAAACACAATAATGTTTATAATGTAATAATTTAACAGTCTGTGAAAATGCACAAACTTTAATGGAGTCTAATATACCAAAAAGTGAATTTTAAAATTTTTCTATTTTTGCTCTTTTGAGTAAAATTCAACTTCAAAAGTTATTAAAAATTAACAAATATTTTTTGTTAGACACCTAGAACCAGTGTCTAGGTTACTGAGAGTGTGTTCATGATGATTGATCATTTTGCTCCAAACAAGTGAAAAGGATGATCAACATAAATAGTCATAATGATTTTAGCATTATTCAAGAAATAACAGGGGAAAATCAACAGTGTCAGAAAATAGGACTGAATAAGAAAGATATATTGGAGAGTGAAAATATTTTTAGTCTTCCCTAGAATATTGCACAATGGAAAGTAAATGATAGTTTTGAAAAAAATGACAGCATTCTTTTTATAAAATGGTGGAAAGCTATAAAAGGAAAACAATGAATGTGAAAATAACTGTTTTTTAAAAGTAGACTGAAGGCACTGAGTGGTTAGAGGAAAGACACCGAAGCTGGGCTGAAAAAGGAGGAAAAAGAAAATGTTTCAAGGGGCTGCCATGCACTGGGTCACATTCTTGGTCCCCAGTGACTCTGGGGGAATGAATGGGTGAGTTGAATTGGCAAAGAGCAACCCACTCCTGCCATGGGCCTCTGGAATCTTGGAAGGAGACCCCTCAACCACCACAGACACTTAAGTTGTCAGGGAGAGCTGCTTAGAGAAGTTGTAGGGGCAGAACTCCAGGTGATGTGGAACCCAGAGGATTTGGTGCAGGAGCACCTATAGTGGAGCACAGCCGAAGACACCATTACCCTAGGTTTGACTTGCTGCCACAGGAGACCTTAGCTCTAGGGGAACTGTCAGACCTCAATTCTGCAGGGTGGTCTTGCCCATCAGATGGGGCTGTTCCGACCTGAGCACCCTTGGTCTTCTGGCCTCTGCCAGGGCATCAGCCTCGCTGCCTCTGTTTGCAGTGCCACCCTGGGTGCCCTGGGGGCTGCATCATAGCTCCTGCACTGACAGACTGTGCCAGAGCAGTCCCATGGACATGCACCAGCCCATCCACTCTCTCCCAACACAGCTGCCTCCCTGCCTACGGCCACTTCCCGCATTACTTTACTTGTGCCTGTGGATCTTGCCTTCTCTGCCCCACCAGTGTGTATGTGCATGTGCACCCTGCCCTGCCACTGCTGCCAGCATGAGTGCACTCTGTGCCCCCTACCCCTGCCCTACCACCATTGCAGTCAGAATCTTGGCGGGCATAGAGGCAGTCAGACCTGCCACCACCAGTGCCCCACCCATTAGCTAAAACTGCCAATGGAGTGAAACTAGGCACAGAAGACAGCGGACCCTCCTTTGCCTGGAGCAGCCACCTCTGCCTGTATGAATGGGCACAGAGGGTACATACAGTCCTGTTCCTGCTGGCACTCTACCCCCCATGCTAACACCACTACCAGGGCAACCATGCACGCAATCGCCAGTGGGAGACCCTCCTGTCCCTGCAAGCTGTGCGGCCTCCATGGCTGCTGTGAACACGTGCACAGAGACTGGCACCTGCTAGCAGCCTGCTGCAGCCAACTAGCATGCACCCCACTGAACTGGCACTGCCACTGCTGCTGACACGTGTGAAAGAGGATGCATCCTGCTGTCACCACCCTGTGAAACTCTTTGAATGGCTGCACCCATTGGAATGCTGTAACTAATGGTCTGGGAGCACCTCAGCCCCCACTAGCACAGGGAGTTTCTAACCTGGAGGAGCCAGAGAACAAAGTTGGGACATAATAGCAGTGACCTAGAGTTAAAGTGTGCAGTTTAGGAGTTGTGAGCTGAGCCGTGGCTCCCTAAAATCTTCCAGAAACCAAGCCAGTCAACTGAATCCATCTTATTCCACAATAAAACACTTGAGGTCATCAAATAAGATGAAAGAAAAAAAAACTACCATGAAAGGACAGGAGCTTCACAGATTAAAGAAACATGAGCCCACAATGATGCAAAAGAACCAGTGCAAGAACTCTGAGAACTCAAAAAGCCAGAGTGCCTTCTTTCCTCCAAAGGATCACACTAGCTCTCCAGCAAGGGTTCTGAACTGGGCTGAGATGACTGAAATTACAGAAAAAAAAATATTCAGAATGTGAGTAGGAACAAAGGCTATAGAGATGCAGGAGTACATTTAAACCTAATCCAAGGAAGCTAAGAATCACAATAGAATGATACAGGAGCTGACAAACAAAATAGCTAGTATAGAAAAGAATATAACCGACCTAATAGAGCTGAAAAAGGTACTGCAAGAATTTCATAATGCAATTGCAAGTATTATTAACAGAACAGACCAAGCTGAGAAAAGAATCACAGAGTTTGAAGTCTGGCTTTCAAAAATAAGACAGTCAGACAAGAATAGAGAAAAAACAATAAAAAGGAATTGACAAAACCTCTGAGAAATAAGGGATTATGTAGAGACAAAATCTATGATTCATTGGTGTCCCTGAAAAAGATGGGGAGAATGGAAGCAACTTGGAAAATATATTTCAGGATGTCATTTATGACAATTTCCCCAAACTAGCTAGAGAGGCCAACATTCACATTCAGAAAATGCAGTGAACCTCATTAAGATACTTCACAAAAAGATTATCCCCAAGACACATAATCATCAGATTTGCCAAGATTGAAATGAAAGAAAAAATGTTAAAGGCAGCTAGAGAGGAAAGGGCCAATCACCTACAAAGGCAAGCCCAACAGATTAACAGTTGACCTCTCAGTAGAAACCTTACAAGACAGAAGAGATTAGGGGTCAATATGCAACATTCTTAAAGTCAAGAAATTTCAACCAAAAATTTTATATGTAGCCAAACTGATCTTCATAAGCAAAGGAGAAATGAGATTCTCTTTAGACAAGCAAACGCTAGGGGAATTTGTTATCAACATACCTGTTTTCCAAAAGCTCCTGAAGGAGGCACAAAATGTGGAAAGGAGAGACCATTACCAGCCACTACAAAAACACTCATGAGTACACAGACCATTGACACTATAAAGCAACCACACAAACAAATCTGCATAATAACGAGCTAACATCATGACAACAGTATCAAATTCACAAATATCAATATAAACCTTGAATGGAAACTGGCTAAATGTCCCAATTAAAAGGCACAGAGTGTCAAGCTGGATAAAACACCAAACCCATAGGTGTGCTATCTTCAAGCAACCCATCTCACATGAAATGACACCTATAGACTTGAAATAAAGGGATGGAGAAAAATCTACTGAGCAAATGGAAATCAGAAAAAAATCAAGGGTTGCTAACCTAATTTGAGACAAAACAAACAAAACCAGCAAAGATAAAAAAAGACCAGGATACTACATAATAGTAAAGAGTTCATTCAATTCAACAGGAAGAAATAACCATCCTAAAAATATATGCATCTAATACAGGAGCACCGAGATTCATAAAGCAAGTTTTTAGAGATTTATGAAGAGACTTAGATTCCCATGTAATAATAGTGGGAGACTTCATCCAATACCACACTGTCAGTACTAGATAGATAATTGAGGCAGAAAATTAACATAGAAATCCCAAACATAAATTCAGCACTGGATCAAATGAACCTGAAAGACATATACAGAACTCTCCACCCAAAAACAACAGAATATACAGTTTTCTCATCACCACACAGCACATACTCTAAAATCGATCACATAATTAGACATCAAACAATACTCAGCAAATGCAAAAAAATGGAATTATATCAACCACTCTATCAGACCACAGAACAATAAAATTAGAATTTGGGACTACAAAAATCGCTCAAAACCATACGATTACATGGAAATTAAGTAACCTGCTCCTGAACAACTTTTGGGTAAGTAATTAAATTAAGGGAGAAATCAAGATGTTTTTTAAAACTGATGAGAACAAAGATGCAACATACCAGAATCTCTGGGACACTGCTAAGGAACTGTTAAGAGAAAAATTTGTAACACTAAACATGCACATCAAAAATTTAAAAGGATCTCAATTTAATAACGCAACATGAAAACTGAAAGAATTAGAGAAGCAAGAGAAAACAAACCTCAAAGCTAGCCAAAGATAAGAAATAACTAAAATCAAAGCTGAATTGAAGGAGATTGAGACACAAAAAACTATTAAAAAGATTAATCCTCAACAAAATACTGGTAAACCAAATCCAGCAGCACATCAAACGACTTATCCATCACAATCACGTAGTCTTTATCCTTGGGGATACAAGGTTGGTTCAACATGCACACTAAATGTGATTCATCACATAAACAGAAGTAAAGATAAAAAACACATGATTATTGCAATCAATACAGAAAAGGCCTTTGATAAAATTCAACACCTTTTCATGTTCAAAACTTGCAATAAACTAGGTATTCAAGGAACATACCTGGAAATAATAAGAGCCATCTATGGCAAATCCTCAGCCAACATCATAATGAATGAGCAAAAGCTAGAAGCATTCCCCTTGAAAACTAGCACAAGACAAGGATGCCTTCTGTCATCACTGCTATTTAACATATAATCATGTCATCTGCAAACAAAAATAATACGACTTCCTGTCTTCTCATTTTGATGCATTTTATTTCTTTCACTTGCTTGATTGTTCTGACTGGGACTTCCATTACTATGTTAAGGAGCTCTTATGTTAGCACCACATCTTGGCAAGAGGCAAACCAACTTAAGTCATTACAGCAACTCATGGCAGAATAATACTGCTCCCAGGAAGGAGAAAATGGGTGCTAACACCACTGCTTGTAACTGGCTAATCAGAGGTCTTGAGTTTGTCCACCTGACAGACTCACTAATAGCATAAACAACATTTGAGAAAGCCAGCACTCTAAGCCTGTCTACAACCAAGGATTTTCTTTTTTTTTCTTTTCCAGTTCTTCTGATTTTATTTCCTATTAAAATATCTTATTTATTTTATTTTATTTTATTATTATTATACTTTAAGTTTTAGGGTACATGTGCACAATGTGCAGGTTAGTTACATATGTATACATGTGCCATGCTGGTGTGCTGTACCCATTAACTCGTCATTTAGCATTAGGTATATCTCCTAATGCTATCCTTCCCCCCTCCCCCCACCCCACAACAGTCCCCAGAGTGTGATGTTCCCCTTCCTGTGTCCATGTGTTCTCATTGTTCAATTCCCACCTATGAGTGAGAACATGCGGTGTTTGGTTTTTTATCCTTGTGATAGTTTCCTCAAAATGATGATTTCCAGTTTCATCCATGTCCCTACAAAGGACATGAACTCATTTTTTATGGCTGCATAGTATTCCATGGTGTATATGTGCCACATTTTCTTAATCCAGTCTATCATTGTTGGACATTTGGGTTGGTTCCAAGTCTTTGCTATTGTGAATAGTGCCACAGTAAACATACGTGTGCATGTGTCTTTATAGCAGCATGATTTATAGTCCATTGGGTATATACCCAGTAATGAGATGGCTGGGTCAAACGGTATTTCTAGTTCTAGATCCCTGAGGAATCGCCACACTGACTTCCACAATGGTTGAACTAGTTTACAGTCCCACCAACAGTGTAAAAGTGTTCCTATTTCTCCACATCCTCTCCAGCACCTGTTGTTTCCTGACTTTTTAATGATCACCATTCTAACTGCTGTGAGATGGTATCTCATTGTGGTTTTGATTTCCATTTCTCTGATGGCCAGTAATGATGAGCATTTTTTCATGTGTCTTTTGGCTACATAAATGTCTTCTTTTGAGAAGTGTCTGTTCATATCCTTTGCCCACTTGTTGATGGGGTTGTTTGTTTTTTTCTTGTAAATTTGTTTGAGTTCATTGTAGATTCTGGATATTAGCCCTTTGTCAGATGAGTAGGTTGAGAAAATTTTCTCCCATTTTGTAGGTTGCCTGTTCACTCTGATGGTAGTTTCTTTTGCTGTGCAGAAGCTCTTTAGTTTAATTAGATCCCATTTGTCAATTTTGGCTTTTGTTGCCATTGCTTTTGGTGTTTTAGACATGAAGTCCTTGCCCATGCCTATGTCCTGAATGGTAATGCCTAGTTTTTCTTCTAGGGTTTTTGTGGTTTGAGGTCTAACATTTAAGTCTTTAATCCATCTTGAATTAATTTTTGTATAAGGTGTAAGGAAGGGATCCAGTTTCAGTTTTCTACATATGGCTAGCCAGTTTTCCCAGCACCATTTATTAAATAGGGAATCCTTTACCCATTGCTTGTTTTTGTCAGGTTTGTCAAAGATCAGATAGTTGTAGATATGTGTCATTATTTCAGAGGGCTCTGTTCTGTTCCATTGGTCTATATCTCTGTTTCAGTACCAGTACCATGCTGTTTTGGCTACTGTAGCCTTGTAGTATAGTTTGAAGTCAGGTAGCATGATGCCTCCAGCTTTGTTCTTTTGGCTTAGGATTGACTTGGTGATGCAGACTCTTTTTTGGTTCCATATGAACTTTAAAGTAGTTTTTTCCAATTCTGTGAAGAAAGTCATTGGTAGCTTGATGGGGATGGCATTGAATCTATGAATCTGTAAATTACCTTGGGCAGTATGGCCGTTTTCAGGATATTGATTCTTCCTACCCATGAGCATGGAATGTTCTTCCATTTCTTTGTATCCTCTTTTATTTCATTGAGCAGTGGTTTGTAGTTCTCCTTGAAGAGGTCCTTCACGTCCCTTGTAAGTTGGATTCCTAGGTATTTTATTCTCTTTGAAGCAATTGTGAATGGGAGTTCACTCATGATTTCGCTCTCTGTTTGTCTGTTACTGGTGTATAAGAATGCTTGTGATTTTTGCACATTGATTTTGTATCCTGAGACTTTGCTGAAGTTGCTTATCAGCTTAAGGAGATAATATACATTTTTTTCAGGACCACACCACACCTATTCCAAAATTGACCACTTACTTGGAAGTAAAGCTCTCCTCAGCAAATGTAAAAGAACAGAAATTATAACAAACTGTCTCTCAGACCACAGTGCAATCAAACTAGCACTCAGGATTAAGAATCTCACTCAAAACCGCTCAACTACATGGAAACTGAACAACCTTCTCCTGAATGACTGCTGGGTACATAACGAAATGAAGGCGGAAATAAAGATGTTCTTTGAAACCAGTGAGAACAAAGACACAACATACCAAAATCTCTGGGACACATTCGAAGCAGTGTGTAGAGGGAAATTTATAGCACTAAATGCCCACAAGAGAAAGCAGGAAAGATCCGAAATTGACACCCCAACATCACAATTAAAAGAACTAGAAAAGCTAGAGCAAACACATTCAAAAGCTAGCAGAAGGCAAGAAATAACTAAAATCAGAGCAGAACTGAAGGAAATAGAGACACAAAAAACCCTTCAAAAAATTAATGAATCCAGGAGCTGGTTTTTTGAAAGGATCAACAAAATTGATAGACCACTAGCAAGACTAATAAAGAAAAAAAGAGAGAAGAATCAAATAGATGCAATAAAAAATGATAAAGGGGTATCACCACCGATCCCACAGAAATACAAAGTACTGTCAGAGAATACTACAAACACCTCTATGCAAATAAACTAGAAAATCTAGAAGAAATGGATAAATTCCTCAACACATACACTCTCCCAAGACTAAACCAGGAAGAAGTTGAATCTCTGAATAGACCAATAACAGGCTCTGAAATTGTGGCAATAATCAATAGCTTACCAACCAGAAAGAGTCCAGGACCAGATGGATTCACAGCTGAATTCTACCAGAGGTACAAGGAGGTACTGGTACCATTCCTTCTGAAACTATTTCAATCAATAGATAAAGAGGGAATCCTCCCTAACTCATTTTATGAGGCCAACATCATCCTGATACCAAAGCCGGGCAGAGACACAACCAAAAAAGACAATTTTAGACCAATATCCTTGATGAACATTGATGCAAAAATCCTCAATAAAATACTGGCAAACCGAATCCAGCAGCACATCAAAAAGCTTATCCACCATGATCAAGTGGGCTTCATCCCTGGGATGCAAGGCTGGTTCAATATACGCAAATCAATACATGTAATCCAGCATATAAACAGAACCAAAGACAAAAACCACATGATTATCTCAATAGATGCAGAAAAGGCCTTTGACAAAATTCAACAACCCTTCATGCTAAAATCTCTCAATAAATTAGGTATTGATGGGACGTATCTCAAAATAATAAGAGCTATCTATGACAAACCCACAGCCAATATCATACTGAATGGGCAAAAACTGGAAGCATTCCCTTTGAAAACTGGCACAAGACAGGGATGCCCTCTCTCACCACTCCTATTCAACATAGTGTTGGAAGTTCTGGCCAGGGCAATTAGGCAGGAGAAGGAAATAAAGAGTATTCAATTAGGAAAAGAGGAAGTCAAATTGCCCCTGTTTGCAGATGACATGCTTGTATATCTAGAAAACCCCATTGTCTCAGTACAACCAAGGATTTTCACAGAGTCTATGTCACTCCCCTGCCACCTCCATCAAAGCAGGTGCTGGTATCTACTACTGGGACACCCAAACACAGGTCAAAACCATGGACTCTTTGCAGACATTCCCCAACACTATTCTAGACTGGAAGCCCCCACTAAGTGGCTAGACCTAGAACAGCAATAGCAATTACTGCAGACTGGCTTTCAGAAAACCCCATCCCTAGGGGAAGGAGGAGAGCAACATATCAATGGCTTACCCCATGGGACAAAAGAATCTGAACAGCAGGCCTTGAGTCCCAGACCGTTCCACTCATGGGAAATTTCTCACAGCGGAGACACAATTGCAATGCTGGGTGTAGTAGGGAAAGTTTGCACCTCAACCCCAACAAGCAGGCATCCTTTGTGATTGGAAAGGGCTTTAAAAAGAGGGGTCCTTGTTTCCCCTGTCACTTCACTGTAGACACAGCTGGGGCTTCACCCACAGGAACACAGCTTGGATGCAACTACAGACAGCCTTTCTGGTATAATCCAGGATAGCACAGCCCCAAGAAGGAGCACCACCTAGATTCAGGCCTGCATGACAGGCAGATGTTGATGTTGGAACATCAACGTTTCTACAGATGAAAAGAGGTGCCTGAATGATCTGAATAGCTGAAACACTGGAACAGGAGTGAGGCTCTGTGGTGAATAGCTTTCCTGCTGGCTTGGCAGGGGAGCTGAGGTAGCTTCCGATCTTCACCCTGGTAAAACCTCAGCATGTTTAATTGAGCACTCACCCAGCCACCCTCATCAAGGCTGGGACCTCAGCCCACTTTTGGGTATTACATCTACCCACCTCCTGGTTAGGCTATGACTGGTGCCTACCCAGGAATACCTCCTTTATTGACCTGAAACCGAATCATCAACTCAGTAAGTAAAATACTGGAGAAAAATAAAATAAATAAATGAAGAGTATACCATAAGAGAACAAGGTAAGCTTCAAGAAACCGCTCCCATTCTAATCACATAGGAGACAGTGAACTTGCCCAAACAGCAAGAATATAACTACTACAACCAGGATGTGGGAAACCCAGCAAACAACGACTCTCTATAAGGAATTCATGTAGAGTCTTCAGCCCCAAAAGCACCAAGAATCAAATTAGGCTAAAATAAACATTAAGGTCCAATTTTTAAGAGGAGAAAAAAAGAAATTAAAAAACACAGTCCAATCAAAAATAAATTCAAGAACAATTTGAAAAAATACTCTACCCAAATGAGAAGGAATAAGAAAAGTAATTTTGGTAATATGACACCAGCTCCTAGCAATGGATCTAAATCTAGAAAAAAAATTCTCTGAATTGCCAGATAAATTATTCAGAAGGTTATTAAACTACTCAAGCAGATACCAGATAAAGGTGAAAACCAACTTAAAGAAGTTTTAAAAAATCCAGGGTATAGATGAAAACTTTTTCAGAGAAATAGACATCATAAAGAACAAACAATCAGAACTTTTGGAAATGAAAGAAATGAAAGACACACTTAGGGAAATATAAAATACAATGAAAAGTTTCAACAACAGATTAGCACAAGTAGAAGACAGAATTTCACAGCAGGAATACCAAGCATTTGAATTAACCCAATTAGATCTCAACAAATAAAAATAATAAAAATAAATACACAAAGTCTCCAAGAAATATTGGATTATGTAAAATGGCCAAACCTAAGAATAATTGGCATTCCTGGGGAAGAAGAAAAAACTAGAAGCTTGGAAAAATTACTTGAGGGAATAATTGAGGAAAAATTCCCTGTTCTTGCTAGAGATCTAGACATCCAAATACAAGAACCCCAAAGAACTCCTGGAAAATTCATTGCAAAAAGATCATTAACAAGGCCTGTAGTCATCAGGTTATCCAAAGGCAAGATGAAAGAAAGAATCATGAGAGCTGTGAGACAAAGGCATCAGATAACCTATAAAGAAAAACCTATGACATTAACAGCAGATTTCTCAGCAGAAATCTTACAAGCCAGAAAGGATCAGACAAATAAATTCTGAGAGAATTTGCTACTACCAAACCAGCACTATAAGAAATGCCAAAAAAGAGTTCTAAATCTTGAAACAAAACCTTGAAATAGACCAAAGTAGAACCTACTTAAAGCATAAATCTCACAGGGCCTATAAAACAATAACAGAATGATAAAAAAAGGTATTTAGGCAACAACTAACATGGTGAATAGAACAGTACCTCACATCTCAATCCTAACTTTGAAGGTAAATGGCCTAAATGCTTCACTTAAAAGATAGAGAATGGTAGAATGGATTAAAAACCACCAACCAAGTATACGCTGTCTTCAAGAGATTCACTTAACACATAAGGACTCATATAAACTGAAAGATATTCCACTCAAATGGAAACCAAAAGCAAGCAGGAGTGGTTATTCTTATATGAGACAAAAGAGACTTTAAAGCAACAACAGTAAAAACAGACAAAGAAGACATTATATGATGATAAAAGGATTAGTCCCACAGGAAGATATTACAATCCTAAATACATATGCATCTAACATTGAAGGTCCCATATTTATGAATCAATTACTACTAGACCTAAGAAATGAGATAAATGGCAACACAATAATACTACGGGAATTCAGTACTCCACTGATAGCACTAGACAGATCATCAAGACAGAAAGTCAACAAAGAAACAACAGAGAAACTATATTCTAGAACAAATGAGCTTAACAGATATTTACAGAACATTCTACCCAACAACTGCAGAATATACATTCTTTTCATCAGCACTGGAAAAATTCTCTGAGATAGGCCATATGATAGGCCATAAAACAAGTCCCAATAAATTTAAGAAAATCAAAAATATATAAAATAATTTCTCAGACCAAAGTGAAGTAAAACTGGAAGTTAACTCCAAAAGGAATACTTAAAACTTTTAAAAATACAAGAAAATTAAATAATATCCTGTAACAATGACAAAACTGATCCAAACTTCTGGGATATGGCAAAAGTGGTGCTAAGAGGAAAGTTCATAGCATTAAATGCCTACATCAAAGAGTCTGAAAAAGCACAAATAGACAACTTAACATTATACCTCAAGGAACTAGAGAAACAAGAACAAACTGAACCCAAACCCAGCAGATGAAAAGAAATAATAAAGATCAGGGCAGAACTAAATGAAATTGAAACAAAAATATACAAAAGATAAATGAAACAAAAGCTAGTTCTTGGAAAAGATAAGCAAAATTGATAGACCATTAGCAAAACTAACCAAGAAAAGAAGAGAGAATATACAAATTTGCTCAACTAGAAATGAAACAGGAGACATTACAACTGATACCATAAAATACAAAAGATCAGTTGAGGCTACTATGAATACCTTTACATGCACAAACTAAAAAACCTAGAGAAGATGGATGAATTTTTAGAAATATATAACTTTTCTAGATTAAATCAGGAAGAAATAGAAACTCTGAGCAGACCAATAACAAGTAGAGAGATTAAATCAGTAATAAAAAATTGCCAACCAAAAAAGTTCAGGACCAGATGGATTCACAGCTGAATTCTATCAGACATTCAAAGAAGAATTGGTACCAATCCAATGACACTATTCCACAGGATAGAGAAAGAAGGAATCCTCCATAAATAATTCTATGAAGCCAGTATCACCCTAATACCAAAACCAGGAAAGGACATAACAAAAAAGAAAACTACAGACCAATATCACTGATAAACATAGATGCAAAAATCCTCAAGAAAATACTAGCTAACCAAATCCGACAGCATATCAAAAAGATAATACATTATCATCAAGTGGGTTTCATACCAGGGATGCAGGAATGGTTTAACATATGCATGTCAATAAATGTGATACATCACATAAACAGAATTTAAACGAAAAATCATATGATCATCTCAATAGACACAGACAAAAACATTTGACAAGATCCAGCATCTCTTTATGATAAAAACCCTCGACAAAACTGAGATAGAAGGAACATACCTCAAAGCAATAAAAGTTATCTATGACAATCCCACAGCCAACATCATATTGAATGGAGAAAAGTCAAAAGCATTCCCCCTGAGAACTGGAACAAGACAAAGATGCCCACTTTCAGCACTTCTATTCAACATAATACTGGAAGTCCCAGCCAGAGTAATAAGACAAGAGAAAGAAATAAAGGACATTCAGATTGGAAAGAGAGGAAGTCACACTGTAGCTGTTCATCAATGACATGATCATCCACCTAGAAAACCCTAAAGACTCATCGAAAAAGCCCCTAGATCTGATAAATGAATTCAGTAAAGTCTCAAGATACAAAATCAATGTACACAAATCAGTAGCACTGCAATAACCAACAATGACCAAGCTGAGAATTAAATAAAGAACTCAATCCCTTTTACAACAGCTGCAAAAAATTAAAATTCTTTGGAATATACTTAACCAAGGAGGTGAAAGATCTCTACAAGGAAAACCAGAAAACACTGCTGAATGAAATCATAGATGACACAAACAAATGAAAACACATCCCATGTTCATGGATGGGTAGAATTAATATTGTGAAAATGACCATACTGCCCAAAGCAATCTACAGATTTAATGCAATTACCATCAATATAGCATTGTAATTTGCCACAGAATTAGAAAAAACAATCCTATAATATATATGAAACCAAAAAATGGACCGCATAGCCAAAGCAATAATAAGCAAAAAGAACAAAGCTGGATGTATCACACTACCCAATTGTAAGTTATACTACAAGGCTATAGTTAACAAAACAGCATGGTACTGTGTATAAAAATAGGCATGTAAACCAATGGAACACAATAGAGAACCGATAAATATAATGAAATACTTAAAGCCAACTGATCTTCAACAAAGTATAGAAAAACATAAAGTGCGGAAAGTACATCCTATTCAGGAAATGTTGTTGGGAAAACTGACAAGCCACATACAGAGGAATAAAACTGGATCTGCAACTTTCACCTTATTAAAAAATCAGCTCAAGATGGATCAAAGACTTAAATTTATGACCTGAAACCATAAAAATTGTAGACTATAATATCAGAAAGACTCTTCCAGACATTGGCTTAGGCAAAGAATTTATGACTAAGAACCCAAAAGCAAATGCAACAAAATCCAAAATAAATAAATGGGACCTAATTAAACTAAAAATCTTCTGTATAGCAAAAGAAATAATCAGCAGAGTAAACCGACAACCCACCAAGTGGGAAAAAATCTTCGCAAACTATGCACCTGACAAAGGACTAATATTCAGAATCCACAAGGAATTCAAACAAATCCTCAAGAAAAAAAAAGATTCCATCAAAAAGTGCACAAAGAATATGAATCAACAATTCTCTAAAGAAGAAATACAAACAGACAACAAACCTGAAAAAATGCTTAATATCACTAATTATCAGGGAAATGCAAATTAAAACCACATTGAGTAACCAACCTATTCCTGTGAGCATGGCCATAATTTAAAAATCAAAAAAATTACAGATGTTGGCATAGATGTGGTGAAAAGAGAACCCTTTTACACTGCTGGTGGGAATGTAAACTGGTGCAACCACTCTGGAAAACAGTATGGAGATTCCTTAAAGAACTAAAAGTAAAGCTACCATTTCATCCAGCAATCTCACTACTGGGTATCTACTCAAAGGAAAGGAAGTTATTATACGAAAAAGACACATGTACCCGCATTTTTGTAGCAGTTGCATGCACAGTTGCAAAGATATGGAACCACTCTAAATGCCCATCAACCAAGGAGTGGATAAAGAAAATGTGTTGTGAATGTGTGTATCCATATACACAAATATACCATGGAATATTATTCAGCCATAAAATGGAACAAAATAATGGCCTTTGCAGCAACTTGGATGCCCATTATTCTAAGTGAAGTAACTCAGGAATGGAAAACCAAATATTGTATGTTTTCACTTATAAGTGGAACCTATGCTATGAAGATGGAAAGGCATAAGAATAATATAATGGACTCTGGGGACTCAGAGGAAGGGGCGGAAGTGGGGTACAGGATAAATGACTACATATTGGGTAGCATATATATTGCTTGGGTGAATCACAAACAAATGGAAGAACATTCCATGCTCATGGATAGGAAGGATCAATATCGTGAAAATGGCCATACTGCCCAAGGTAATTTATAGATTAAATGCCATACCCATCAAGCTACCAATAACTTTCTTCACAGAATTGGAAAAAACTACTTTAAAGTTCATATGGAACCAAAAAGGAGCCCGCATTGCCAAGTCAATCCTAAGCCAAAAGAACAAAGCTGGAAGCATCATGCTACCTGATTTCAAACTATACTACAAGGCTACAGTAACCAAAACAGCATGGTACTGGTACCAAAACAGAGATATAGACCAATGGAACATAACAGAGCCCTCAGAAATAATACCACATATTGACAACCATCTGATCTTTGACAAACCGAACAAAAACAAGAAATGGGGAAAGGATTCCCTATTTAATAAATGATGCTGGGAAAACTGGCTAGCCATATGTGGAAAGCTGAAACTGGATCCCTTCCATACACCTTATAAAAAGTTAATTCAAGATGGATTAAAGACTTAAATGTTAGACCTAAAACCATAAAAATCCTAGAAGAAAACCTAGGTAATACCATTCAGGACATAGGCATGGTAAGGACTTCATGTCTAAAACATCAAAAGCAATGGCAACGAAAGCCAAAATTGACAAATGGGATCTGATTAAACTAAAGAGCTTCTGCACAGCAAAAGAAACTACCATCAGAGTGAACAGGCAACCTACAGAATGGGAAAAAAATTTTGCAATCTACTCATCTGACAAAGGGCTAATATCCAGAATCTACGAAGAACTCAAACACATATACAAGAAAAAAAAAAAAAACCCATCACAAAGTGGGCGAAGGATATGAACAGACACTTCTCAAAAGAAGACATTTATGCAGCCAACAGACACATGAAAAAATGCTCATCATCACTGGCCATCAGAGAAATGCAAATCAAAACCACAATGAGATACCATCTCACACCAGTAAGAATGGCAATCATTAACAAGTCAGGAAACAACAGGTGCTGGAGAGGATGTGGAGAAATAGGAACACTTTTACACTGTTGGTGGGACTGTAAACTAGTTCAACCATTGTGGAAGACAGTGGTGATTCCACAAGGATCTAGAACTAGAAATACCATTTGACCCAGCCATCCCATTACTGGGTATATACCCAAAGGATTATAAATCATGCTGCTATAAAGCCACATGCACACGTATGTTTATTGCAGCACTATTCACAATAGCAAAGACTTGGAACCAACCCAAATGTCCATCAGTGATAGACTGGATTAAGAAAATGTGGCACATATACACCATGGAATACCATGCAGCCATAAAAAATGATGAGTTCATGTCCTTTGTAGGGACATGGATGAAGCTGGAAACCCTCATTCTCAGCAAACTATCACAAGGACAAAAACCCAAACACCGCATGTTCTCACTTATAGGTGGGAATTGAACAATGAGAACACTTGGACACAGGAAGGGGAACATCACACACTGGGGCCTGTCGTGGGGTGGGGGGAGGGGGGAGGGATAGCATTAGTAGATATACCTAATGTAAATGGCGAGTTAATGGGTGCAGCACACCAACATGGCACATGTATACATATGTAACAAACCTGTATGTTGTGGACGTGTGCCCTAGAACTTAAAGTATAATAATAAAAAAAATCACTACTAAAGAAGTTATCCATGTAACCAGAAACCAAAAACCACCTGTACCCCAATAACTACTGAAATTTTCAAAAAGATTAACGCATCCAGGAATTGTCTTTTTTTGAAAAAGTTAATAAAATGATAGACTTCTAGCTAGAATAATAAAGAAAACAGAGATGATAATGACAAAGAAATTCACCACACAGAAATACTAATAACCATCAGAAAATATTAGGAAAACCTCCATGCATACAAACTACAAAATCTAGAAGAAATGGATAAATTCCTGGACACAAACACCCTCCCAAGTCTGAACAAGGAAGACATTGAATCCCTAAAGAGACTAATAGCAAACTCCAAAATTGAATCAATAATGAACAGCCTACCAACAAAGAAAAGCCTAGGACCAGATGGAGTCACAGTCGAATCATACCAGATGTACAAAGAAGAGCTGGTACTACTCCTACTAAAATTATTCCAAAAAAACTGAGGAGGAGGGACTCCTCCCTAACTCATTCTTTGAGACTAGCATCATCCTGATACCAAAACCTGGCAGAGACACAATACAAAAAAGAGAACTTCAGACTAATATCCTTGATGAATATCCAGGCAAAAATCCTCAACAAAATACTGGTAAACCAAATCCAGCAGCACATCAAAAAGCTTGTCCGCTATGATCAAGTAGGCTTTATCCCTGGAATTTGAGGTTGGTTGAACATATTATAAACAGAATTAAGGCAAAGGCCACATAATTATCTCAATTGACCCAGAAAAGGCTTTTCATACAATTCAATACCCCTTCATGTTGAAAACTCTGAATAAACCAGGTATTAAAGGAACATACCTCAAAATAATAAGAGCCATTTATGATGAACCCTCGCCAACATCAAAATGAGTGGGCAAAAGATGGAAGCATTCCCCTTGAAAACCAGAGCAAGTGAAGGATGCCCTCTGTATTGGTCTATTTTCACACTGCTATAAAGAACTTCCATGAGACTGGGTAATTTATAAAGAAAAGAGGCTTAATTGACTCACAATTATGCATGGCTGGGGATGCCTCAGGAAACTTACAATTGTGGAGGAAGGGGAAGCAGTCACCTTCTTCACAAGGTGGCAGGAGAGCAAATTAGGATGAAGGAGGAACTTCCAAACACTTATAAAACCTTTAGATCTCATGAGAACTCACTCACTGTCACAAGAACACTCCCATGATCCAATCACCTCCCTCTCTCAAAACATGGGGATTACAGGTCCCTCTCTCAACACTTGAGGGTTACAATTTGAGATGAGATTTGGGTGGTGACACAGAGCCAAACCATATCACCCTCTGTCACCTCTCCTATTCAACACAGTACTGGAAGTCCCAGCCAGAGCAATCACGCAAGAGAAAGAAATAAAAGGCATCTAAATAAGAAGAGAGGAAGTCAAATTTTCTTTGTTTGCAGATTACATGCTTGATTCTGTATCCAGAAAAACCCATAGTCTCTGTCCAAAGGCTCCTTGATCTGATAAACAACTTCAGGAAAACCCCAGGATACAAAATCAAGATACAAAAATCACTAGTAGTTCTATACACCAACAACAGTCAAGCCAATAGCCAAATCAGGAACACAATCTCATTTACAATTGCCACAAAAAGAATAAAATATCCAGGAATACGGCTAACCAAGGTGAAAGATCTCTACCAAGAGAACTACAAAACCCTGCTCAAAGAAATCAGAGATGACACCACAAACTGAAAAGCATGCTCATGGATAAGAGCATGGATAAGAATCAGTATCATCAAAATGGCCATATTGCCCAAAGGAATTTATAGGTTCAATGCTATTCCTATCAAACTGCCAATGACATCCTTCACAGAACTAGAGAAAACTATTTTAAAATTTATATTGAACCAAAAAGAGCTCAAATAAAATTCAAGGCAATCCTAAGCACAAAGAACAAAGCTGGAGACATTATGCTACCTGACTTCAAACTGTACTACAGGGCTACAGCAATGGTAGTGATACAAAACCAGGCACATAGACCAACAGAACAGAATAGACAGGCCAGAAATAATGCCGCACACGTACAACCATCTGATTTTCAACAAGGCTGACAAAAACAAGCAATGGGGAAAGGAATCCTTATTCAATAAATGTTGCTGGGATAACTGGCTACCCATATGCAGAAGATTCAAACTGGACCCCTTTCTTGCCACATATACAAAAACCAACCTAAGGTGTATTAAGAAAAATGTGAAACCCAAAATTCTAAAAACCTTGGAAGACAACTAGGCAATACCACTCTGGACATAGGAACAGGAAAAAATTTTATAATGAAGATGCCAAAAGCAATTGCAACAAAAGCAAACATTGACAAATGAGATCTAACTAAACTAACTAAGTTCTGCACAACAAAAGAAACTATCAACAGAGTAAACAGACAACCTACAGAATGGGAGAAAATTTCTGCAAACTATGTATCTGACAGAGGTTTACTATCTAGCATCTGTAAGGAACTTAAACAAATTTACAAAAAAAAAAAAAACCACACACACAAACAAACAACTCCCTTACAAAGTGGGCAAGAAACATAAACAGACACTTTTCAAAAGAAGACATATATGTGGTCAACAAAAATATGAAAAGAAAGCTCAACATCACTGATCATTAGAGAAATGCAAATCCAAACGACAATGAGATACCATCTCACACCAGTCAGAATGGCCAGGCATGTTGGTTCACACCTGTAATCCCAGCACTTTGGGAGGCTGAGGCGGGTGGATCATGAGTTCAGGAGTTAGAGACAGCCTGGCCAACATAGTGAAACCCCGTCTCTATAAAAAATACAAAAATTAGCCAGATGTGATGGCAGGTGCCTGTAGTCCCAGCTACTCAGGAGGCTGAGGCAGGAGAATCGCTTGAACCCAGGAGGCAGAGGTTTCAGTAAGCCGAGACCATGCCATTGCACTCCAACCTGGGTGAAAGAGTGAGACTCCATCTAAAAAAAGAAAAAGAAAAAAAGAAAGAAAAAGTAAGAAAAAAAAAGTAAAAAAAAAAATAACAGATCCTAAAGAGGTTGCAGAGTTAAAGGAATGCTTGTACACTGTTGGAGTGTATATTAGTTCAACCATTGTGGAAATCAGTGAGTTGGTTCCTCAAAGAGCTAAACACAGAACTACCCTTCAACCCAGCAATCTCATTACTGGGTGTATACCCAAAGGAATATAAATTGCTCTATCATAAAGACACATGCATGCTTATGTTCACTGCAGCACTATTCACAATAGCAAAGACATGGAATCAACCTAAATGCCCATCAATAGTAGACTGGATGAGAAAATGTGGTGCATATACACCGTGGAATACTATGCAGCCACAAAAAAGAACAATATTATGTCCTTTGCAAGAACATGGGTGGAGCTGGAGTCCATTATCCTTAGCAAACTAACACAGAAACAGAAAACCAAATACCACATGTTCTCACTTATAAGAGGGAGCTAAATGATGAAAACACACAGACACATAGAGGGGAACAACAGACACTGGGACCTACCTGATGGTGGAGGGTGAGAGGAAGAAGAAGATCAGGAAAAATAACTAATGGGCACTAGGCTTAATACCTGTGTGACAAAGCAATCTGTACAACAATCCTTCATGATACAAGTTTACCTATATAACAAATCTGCACATGTACCCATGAACTTAAAATAAAAATGAAAAAAAATAGCAATCAGTTTTTAACTCATGAAAAAATGAAGCAAACATGTTTAAAGTATATATTAAAATATTTATTTTACATATTTTAGTGAAAGAACAATGGTTGTAAGCTTTGCAATCATTGTTTATGTACAAACACTAAAACTTTACAAAATTATGATCTTTCATCAGTACTACCATTCATTGGAGTCTAAGTTTTAATTTTTTAACCTTGAATACCAGTTAGAGGTCATATAACATACATTATGTTTGGAATACATAGTATTATCTTAGGCTAAATGTAATATATTATGTATAAAAATTACAGAAAACAGAGGACAGGAAAAAATATGACTTTAAACCCTGTTCACTTCTTCCAAATAAAGTCATATTTCTTGTATGAATAAAACAATAAAATTATTATTTTAATGAAAGCAATGTAAACATATTTCAGAATTACATAGAAAATATATTGAGACTAAAATAAAATAAATTTGAGACTAAAATAAAATAAATTGAAAACCATATACTCATTATTTCATTCAATCAAAAAATTTTTGCATGCTAAAAACTATGCTTAGAACTGAGGAGGCCACCTCACACGCATACATCTGTACACACACATATATATTCATATATTTTCATACACACACATACACCTGCAAACAAAAGTGCATGCATGAAAACATTTACACACATATTTGCCCACATGTAGACAGAAATGTGTATAGCCATATGTTGGCATTCATACACATGTGCATGCATATAGACATATATGCACACACTATCTATATATGCACACATATATCTACGTACATACACTCATGCAGACACACATAAGCTCACCTACACAAACATATACAAACAGACATAGTGCACACACAAAATCACAATTTAGATTAAGTCCTGTCAATGGAGCAAACGAAAATCGAAGTAAATATTCTTTTAGCATAGTTCATAATCTTCGGGTGGTGTTCCCTCTGTGCATCCTAATCTCCACTTCTTATGAAGGTACCAGTCATATTGGATTGGGGCCCAACCTAGTCACCTCGGTTTAATTTAATCACCCCTTTAAATATTCTATGTCAGAATACAGACATAGTCTTATGTACTGGTGGTTAGGGTTTTTAACATCTGGATATTGAAATCTGAGCATGGATCACAATTCAGCCCACAACACATATGGTTCCGAGATAATGAAATCAATATTTTAGATAGATATAATCTTAATCAATTGAATACAAATATAAAAAATTTGTAGCCTATATCTTAGAAACATTAATATTGATTGGTTTTTCAAAATTTTTAGTTTTTAGTTTCTTTTGGAGTCCTACATAATTTAGCTGATGTAATGTGCAATTAATAATTTATATTAGGCATCTTGAAAGTGAAGATGCAATTTATTTTACATTCACCAAAATCCATTGATGCAAATCAAATATAAAGTTTCTTCTTTTTATTAACTCAAGTTCATAGTTTACATAAGGATTTACTCATCGTGTTGTACAGTTTTATGGATTTTGACAAATGCATCTCATGTGTCCACCATTACAGTATCATGTATAATAGTTTCACTCTCTTAAAAATCCTCTGTTTTTCACCTATTCATACCTGTTTCAAACCCTTATAAACACTGATCATCCCCTACCTCAAACCCATGAAAACCACTGATTTTTTTTTTGTCTCTATAGTTTTGCCTACTCCAGAATGTCATATTGTTAAAACTATACACTGTGTAGCTTTTTCAGGCTGCCTTCTTTCATTTAGAAATATGTATTTAAAGGTCCTCCATATCGTGTTGCACTTTGATCATTTCTTTTTATAACTTAATAATGTTTCATTATATAAATATAATGTAATCAATTTATCTGTTAATCTTTTAGGACATTTTGATTGCTTCTGGTTGTTGGCAATTATGAAAAAAACTGCTATAAACATTTGTGCACAGGTTTTTGTGTGGACATTAAGCTTTTAACTCAATAGAAAAAAAATACCTTAGGAATTTAATTCCGGAATCATATGGTAAGCCTATAAATATCTTTGTAAGAAACTGCCAATCTGTCTTCCAAAGTGGGTGTAATATTTTGCATTTTCATTAGCAACAAATGAGAGTTTCTGTTGCTCCACATACTAGCCACCATTTGGTATTAGTCAGTGCTTTGGATTTTAGCCATTCTAAGAGATGGGTAGTGGTATTTTATTGTTGTTTTAATTTGCAATTTCCTAATGACATATTTTTTCATATGTTTATTTGCCATGTTTATCTTCTTTAGTGAGTTATCAGTCCAGAAATTTTGCCCACTTTTTAATTAGCATTTTGACTTATTGTTCGGTTTTTTAAAGAGTATACATAATTTTTAAATATTTCCTTTATCAGATATGTTTTGCAACTATTTTTTCCCCAGTTTGTGGCTTATGTTTTCATTCTTTAACAGTGTCTTTTACAGAGCAAAAGTTGTTAATTTTAATATTGTCTTTTAGAAATTTTACTGTTTTGCATTTTACATTTAAATCTATATTACACTTTACATCAATTTTTGTGAAAAGTGTTAAGATTTGTTTCTAAGTTCATTTGTTGCTTGTGGATGTTCAGTTGTTTCAGGCCCACTGGTTGAAAATGACTATCTTTTCTCTGTTGAATTGTCTTTATGCCTTGGTCAATAATCAGTTGACTAAATTTGTTTGGGTTATTTGCGGGCTTGTTATTACCTTCCATTGATCTGTTTGTCATTATTTTCAGAACCATGTTCTTTTGGTTACTGGAGCTTATAGTAAATCATGAAGTTGAGTAGTGTAAGTTCTCTAAATTTGGCCTTTTTCTGGAGTACTGTATTGGCTACCCTGAGCATTTGACTTTCCATCTATTATTTTATCAATATTCACAAAATAATTTGCTTTATGTTTGATTGGGAATTTACTGTATCTATAGATCTATAGATCAAGTTGGTGAGAGATGACATCTTAAAAGTATTGAGTCTTCCTATACTTGAACATGGAGTGTCTTTCCATTTATTTACATTTTTCTGAATATATTTAATCAGTTTTGTAGTTTTCCTCATAGAGATCTTTTAAATATTTTTATTAGATTTATAACTAAACATGTCTTTTTATGGTGCTAATGTAAATGGTGTGTGTTTAATTTTATACTACAATTGCTCGCTGATGATATAGAAGGAAGAAATTGACTTTTCTATATTAACCTCATATTCTGCCAACTTTTAAAATTACTTATTAATTCTAGCATTCTTTTTTGTTAATTATTTGGCTAATTATTTGACATAGATATTGATTCATATGTGAACAAAAACAACTTTATTTTTTCTTTCCCAACACATGTATTTTCTTTTTTTCTTTTTCTTATTGCATTAGCTGGGACTTCTAGTACCTTGTTAAATAGGAGTGGTGAGAGGGGATATTCTTGCCTTGTTCCTGATCATCTAGTTTCTTATCACTAAGTATGAAGTTAGTTGTAGATTTTTGTAAATATTCTTTATCAAGTTGAGAAAATTCCCTTTTATTCCTAGTTCACTGTGAGTTTTATCATGTATGAGTTTTGAATTTTGTCAAATACCTTTTCTGTGTCAATTGACATTATTATATAATTTTTCTTTTGTATTCTATTGATGTGATGAATTACATTAACCTTCTATTGATGTGATGAATTACATTAACCAGTTTTCTAATGTTGAACCAGCTTTCCAAACCTAAAGTAAATCTGATGTGCCTGCAGTGTATATTTTTTATACATTGTTGGATTACGTTTTCTCATATTCATTGAGGATTTTTGAATTATGTTCAGAAGATGAATTAGTTGTAATAATTTATTTCTTGTGATGTCTTCATTTGCTTTTGGCCTTTGGGTAGTGCTGGCCTTGTAGAATGAGTTATAAAGTTTCTCCTCTGCTTCTGTTTCCAGGAAGAGATTGTAGAGAATTGGTGTTATTTGTTCCTCAACTGCATGGTCAAATTCACCAGTTAAACCAGCTTTTCCTATTACTTTCAGTATGGGAAGATTATTAATTTTTGATTCAATTTAATAGATGTCAACCTATTCAAATTATTAATTTATCCCTGGAGGTTTCCTAGATCATGTTTTTCCAGGAGTTCATTCATTTCACCCAAGTTATCGAATTTATGGGCACAAAGTTTTTCACAGTCTTCCCTTATTAACCTTTAATGTGTATAGAATCAGCAGTGACGGCCCCTGTTTCAATTATCATATTAGCAATTGGTTTTCTTAGGTGTCTCTATTGTTCCCTGTATTCAGTTTATTAATTTTGGCTTTAACTTTGGTAATCTTTTTTTTGCTTCCTTAAGGATCATGTTTTTCTTATTCTAGTTCTTTAAGGTAGAAACTTAAATCATTGATTTTTATGTCTTTTTAAAAATATATACATTTAATGTTATAAATTCCCCTGTAAGTACTACCTTCACGGCATCTCACACATTTTTATACTTTTATTTCATTTTGTTAAAATATTTTAAAATTTCTTTCGAGTGTTCTCCTGTGATTTATGTGTTATTTAAAATTGTGTTGTTTCACATCTAAATTTGTAATTTTCTAGCTAACTTTCTGTTAATGATTTCTAGTTTAATTTCATTGTGGTCTGAGAGAAGACTTTATAAGATTCATATTATCTTAAAATTGGAAAGCTGATTTTATGGCCCAGAATTTGGCCTGTCTTGGTGAATATGCCATGTGAGTTTAAGAAGAATATGTTTCCTGCTTTGTTTGATGAAGTATTCTATAAAGTTAATTAAATAAATCAATATAATTGATGTCTTAGCTGTTTTCTGTTCCTTATGTAACAGAATACTTAAAACTGGGTAATATACAAAGACAAGAAATTTATTTCTTCCAGTTATGGAGGATAAGAAGTCCAAGATCAAGGATCTACATCTGGTTAGGACCTTCTTGCTGGTTTGGACTTTGCAGGGCACCAAGGTTAGGTCTTTCTTCCTGTTCTTATATAACCACCAGTCCCAATCTCTTCCATGATAACCAATGAATACATTAATCACTTAATGGATTAATCCATTCATGAGAGTGGAGCCCTCATGACTCAGTGACTTCTCAAATCTCTACCTCTTAATACTGCCACATTGGTAGTTGTTTCAACATAAATTTTGGAGGGTTATTGATGATACTTTTTAATTCGACTATGCTCTTAATAATCTTCTGCCTATGGAATATATGAATTATTAATAGGAGTATGACGAAGTATCCAACTATAATAGTAAATTTGTCTGTTTCTCCTTGCAATTCTAATCATTTTTCTTTATGTATTTTGATGCTCTGTTCATATGCAAATATACATTAGGAATTGTTATGACTTCTTATAGAATTAGCCCTTATATCATTATGTAATTATTTTTTTGTCTCTGAAAATACTGCTTTTTATGAAATTTTAAATTCTAAAGTTAATATAGCTTCTTCAGTATTCTTTTGATTAGTGTTAGCATTGTATATGCTTCTCTACACTTTTAATTTATCTATGTCTTGATATTTCATGTGGTCTCTTATAGACAACAAATAGCTGGAGCTTGCTTTTTTGAATGTACTCTCTCAGTCCCTGGTTTTTATTTTGTGTGTTTGAATCATTCACATTCACAGTTATTATTGATATAGTTGGATTAAAATCTACCATACTTGTAACTGTTTGGTTTGTTGCACTTGCGCTTTGTTTCTTTTTAAAAAATTTCCTCTAATTGTTGCTTCCTTTGGTTTCAATTGGTTATTTTATATTATTCCATTTTCTCTCCTCTTTTAGCATACTTATTTTTTAAAAAGGTTTTCAGTAGCTGCATTTGAGTTTACAATGTACATTTGAAATTAATCTAAGTCCATTTTCAAATACAACTCGATTGTTTCCTGTATATTTTCTGTAACTTAAACCAGAGTATTCCCAATTCAACCCACCCATCTCTCATTGTTGTCATTCATGTTACTTGTCCAGAAGCTATATTTGCCCAATACATTGTTCCACTTTTATCTTGAGAAAAACAGTTATGTTAGATCAATTAAAAATAAGAAAAAAAATTTATGTTGCCTTCATTTATTCCATCTCTAGTATTTTTCCTTTCATTTTATGGATCTGATATTATTTTTTTCTTTCTGAAAAACTACTTTCAGAATTTCTTTCAAGGCAAGTCTATTAGCAACATATTCTCTAGTTTTTGTGTGTCTAAGAAAGTATTTCTCTTTCACTTTTAGTCACTGAGTACGGAATTATCAGTTGGTGTTTGTTTTTTTCCTTTTAACGTTTTAAATATGTCATTACACTCACGTCTTGCTTACATTGTTTTGGCAGAGCAGTCCAGTGATAATTTTATCCTGTTTCTTCTACAGGTAAGTATTTTATTTTTCTCTGGCTTCTCTTTGTATATTCTCTTCGTTTTTTTTTTTATTTTTTTTGGGGGGTGTAATTTTATTTTATTTTACTTGGTTTTGTTTTTGGTATTTATCCTGCTTTCTGTTTTCTAAGCCTCCTGGACATATGGTTTGATATCTGTTACTAATTTTGGAAAATTCTTAGATATTATTACCTCCAACATTTTCTGTTTTTTTCTCTCTTTGTTGTCTTCCTTGTATTTCCAATTTTTATAATTGTCCTACAGCTTTTGGATATTGGATTATTTTCTCATTTTTCTCTTTGCATTTTTGTTTAGGATGTTTCCATCGACATATCTACAAGCTCACTTATACTTTCTCATATCCAGTCTACTACTGAGTCCACCAAAGAGTCTTTATTACTGTTACAGTGTTACTGATTTCTGGTATTTCCTTTAGATTCTTGTTTAGAGTTTTCATCTCCTTGATTGGCATGATTATCCTATTATTGTATGTTCACTTTTTCCACCAGAGGCCTGCTGTAGGTTGAATTGTGTCCTTGAAGAGAAATGGTGCAATCCTAACCCGCAGTACCTATACCTATGAACTTACTTGGAAATACAGCCTTAGCAGATGTTACTTGTTAAGATGAGATTATACTTGAGTAGGTGGGCCCCCAATCCAATATGATAAGTGTCCTTATAAAAGCCGGACACAGAAACAAGCACACAGGGAGAACACCATGCAAAGATTGGAGTTATGCTACCACAAGCCAAAAAACAAACAGAAGCTAAAAGAGGCCTGGAAAAGATCCTTCCTGAGTGCCTTTAGAGGGAGGATGGCACTGATGACAACTTGATCTTAGATTTCTAGTCTCCAGAAATGAGACAATACCTTTCTATAGGCTAAGCCTCTATGTTTGTGCCACTTTGCTATGGCAGTCCTAGCAAACTAATCAAGTATCTTAGATGGTTTAGCTTTTTATTCTTTTTTCCTCTCTATGTTCCTCAGACTAAATTTCCATATATTTTCATATTGTATGTTTATACTATTGTTAATGATTTTAGGTTAATTTCAATGTATTCAGAGAACATACTCTAAATAACTCTTTCTATATAAATTTTGTTGAAATTTGTTTTCTGCCCCCAAATATTCAATTTTGATAAATATTCTATTTATATTTATAAATAATATATATCTACAGTGGTTAGAGTGTTTTATATATGTCAATAATGTCAAATTTTTAATTATATTGGTATTACTCTATAAATATATCATTTCAAACTTTTGTCTGCATGTTTTATAACTTTCTCAGCGATGTGTGTTAATGTTTTCTTTTGTGATTATGGATTTGCCTACTTTTCATTTTGCTTCTGAAATGTTTTTCTTTTTATTTTCTCATTTTTGTATTACTCACATACAAATTGTTCATGTTACTACTTCAGTTATATTTTTAAAGTAATTATGTTTCTTTTAAGGTCATTTTATGCTTCTTTTCTTTAAAAGCTACTTACACAAATATGAATACAGCTTGCTTTTAGTTAGTGTTTGCATTGCATATCTTTTTCTATTCATTTACTTTTACTACACCTTTTAATTAATCTATTGTTTTCTGTCAATTTTTACTAATTTTGTCTTTTAATTAGAAGTTTTAGTTCACTTAAAGCTAACATAATCACTGATGTATTTGCTTTGAAATTTACCATTTTAAAATGCTTTTCATTTTAGACAGGAGCCCTTCCCAGCTACATAAGCCCATCTTCATTATTCATCACGTAGCTCCTTCTGTCTTCAAACTGACAATGGTATATCAGTCCTTTTCATTCTTCAGATCGCTCTGACTTCATCTTCTGCCACAGCTCTTCTGCCTCCAGTTAAAGAAAGTTTTCTGCTGTTAAGGCCTTGCAACGTTAGTTTAAGACAATGAAGATAGCCCAGGAGAATCTTTCTATTTTATGGTAACTGATTGATTAATTACAGCCGCAAAGTCTCTTTATCATGTAATATAACACATTTGTAGGTTCTGGGGACATCTTTGTGGGGCCATTCATCCTACGTCCTACAACAATACTGAAAAGAGTGGACAGTGGAAGCCATAAAATTGCATAGCTCAGATCTCCTGTAGTAGGAAGCATTATTAACTGATAGTCTCAACAACTGTCCTTCTGAATATACCACAAATTTACATTATATCAAGGCTTTCTGCATGCTCCTACGATATGAGGAATGTGAGAAACTTTTAATGAGGAAATTTGTTTGAGAACGTGTTGGCTTAGCCATAACTTTTTGAGAAGCATGCAGAAATTTGAGTCTACTCAACCCTCATTTCTTTATCTTGTGATTCATAAACCTGAATTTTGTGTAAAGAGTATCACTGTCTTTTCTAAAGGTCTCCATTTTATCCTTCAGGGGTGTTTAGCCCTAATAAATCTCTGACATGTGTAGTTTCATCTTGGTATTTGTTTCCCAAGTAAATGAACACTCCACTTGTGATTTAGCCTTAGATCTGCAATTAAAATATTAAATCTTAACCATCTCTCTATTTACTGAAGTTTTTCCAGTCACCACTTAGTTTGAGGATGCACACATTTTAATAGATCCCTCAAGACGGACTCTTGTGTACAAAATTCCCTGAGCTCATGTATGATTAAAGCTGTTTATAACATTAATAAGTGAAGGATATCTTGAATGTCTTGAGCAGACAGAAAAGCTTTGTTTCCCACTTTTTCTCTGTGAGATATTTTAAATTTTCTGCTTCATTGATTTCTTACTTTGAATGTGGTTTAGCAATGTCTAATAAGTTTTATGCCACTCTAACTCTGTATGCCATTCTAATTCATGTGAAGTTTTGCCATTCTAATTCATGTGAAGTTTTGCCATTCTAATTCATGTGAAGTTTTTATCTTTTTTTTTTTTTGCCTGGGGACCATGAGGATTTTTTCTCCATTATCATTAAAGTCTTTCTTCTTTCTTTCTTTCCTTCCTTCCCTTTCTTCCTGTCTCTCTCTCTCTCTCCCTCCTTCTCTCTTTCTTTTTTTTCTGTAGCAAGGTGGTAGGTGAGAGGCAGTGCATACTTGAATTTGTTTATTTTCTTTCATAAGGGAGATCTTAAATTTCACTCCTTTCCTTATTTTTTCTTTCTCCTTCATTATGAAGTTTCCCAGAGGCCATCTCTCCCTTACTTTTAACCTTCTTTCCTCCAAAATGCTACCTTTCCAAGATTGGCTCTTCATCTTACATGAACTTTTAAATATCTTTCTCATATAAGTACTTTAATTTAACAGGAAAGGTGAATTTCCTCTTTCCGATGGTGGCTTTAGACTAATTTTAGACCTGCCATCAGCCATTTTTTTTTATTTTCACACAGATATTCCCAGACTATTCTTGCTCTCCATGTTGACTTGCAGTGAAATACAAGAGATAACTCACTAAATTGGGTGTTTAATTTATATTCTTACTTTCAGTTAATCTTTTTTTGTCTTTGTCTTCTACGTATAATGAGAGCACAAGTATTATTTTTTCTTCTTTTTATTTATGTATATGTCTATTTAAAGTATATTGGGATTTTTAGATATACCAGTTGTGGATATCTTGATGAACATTTATAGAAGAGTATTTCACAAACACTTTCCCCCAGTCACTCTTACCTCTACCAGCTACATAGTTTCCCTCTGTTTTATTCTTTCTTCATTTTTCTATCTTTTCCCATAATTCTTCTTCAAATATTTTATCTTCTAAATATACCACACTCATTTCCCTATATTTCTTTTTTTTTTTTGACCTAAGCATGAAATGTACTTTATTTTTTATTTTATTTTTTTTTAATTATACTTTAAGTTTTAGGGTACATGTGCACATTGTGCAGGTTAGTTACATATGTATACATGTGCCATGCTGGTGCGCTGCACCCACTAACTCGTCATCTAGCATTAGGTATATCTCCCAATGCTATCCCTCCCCCCTCCCCCCACCCCACAACAGTCCCCAGAGTGTGATGTTCCCCTTCCTGTGTCCATGTGATCTCATTGTTCAATTCCCACCTATGAGTGAGAATATGCAGTGTTTGGTTTTTTGTTCTTGCGATAGTTTACTGAGAATGATGATTTCCAATTTCATCCATGTCCCTACAAAGGACGTGAACTCATCATTTTTTATGGCTGCACAGTATTCCATGGTGTATATGTGCCACATTTTCTTAATCCAGTCTATCACTGTTGGACATTTGGGTTGGTTCCAAGTCTTTGCTATTGTGAATAATGCCGCAATAAACATGCGTGTGCATGTGTCTTTATAGCAGCATGATTTATAGTCCTTTGGGTATATACCCAGTAATGGGATGGCTGGGTGAAATGGTATTTCCAGTTCTAGATCCCTGAGGAATCGCCACACTGACTTCCACATTGGTTGAACTAGTTTACAGTCCCACCAACAGTGTAAAAGTGTTCCTATTTCTCCACATCCTCTCCAGCACCTGTTGTTTCTTGACTTTTTAATGACTGCCATTCTAACTGGTGTGAGATGGCATCTCATTGTGGTTTTGATTTGCATTTCTCTGATGGCCAGTGATGATGAGCATTTTTTCATGTGTTTTTTGGCTGCACAAATGTCTTCTTTTGAGAAGTGTCTGTTCATGTCCTTCGCCCACTTTTTGATGGGGTTTTTTTTTTTTTCTTGTAAATTTGTTTGAGTTCATTGTAGATTCTGGATATTAGCCCTTTGTCAGATGAGTAGGTTGCGAAACTTTTCTCCCATTTTGTAGGTTGCCTGTTCACTCTGATGGTAGTTTCTTTTGCTGTGCAGAAGCTCTTGAGTTTAATGAGATCCCATTTGTCAATTTTGGCTTTTGTTGCCATTGCTTTTCGTGTTTTAGACATGAAGTCCTTGCCCATGCCTATGTCCTGAATGGTAATGCCTAGGTTTTCTTCTAGGGTTTTTATGGTTTTAGGTCTAACGTTTAAGTCTTTAATCCATCTTGAATTAATTTTTGTATAAGGTGTAAGGAAGGGATCCAGTTTCAGCTTTCTACATATGGCTAGCCAGTTTTCCCAGCACCATTTATTAAATAGGGAATCCTTTCCCCATTGCTTGTTTTTGTCAGGTTTGTCAAAGATCAGATAGTTGTAGATATGCGTCGTTATTTCTGAGGGCTCTGTTCTGTTCCATTGATCTAGATCTCTGTTTTGGTACCAGTACCATGCTGTTTTGGTTACTGTAGCCTTGTAGTATAGTTTGAAGTCAGGTAGTGTGATGCCTCCAGCTTTGTTCTTTTGGCTTAGGATTGACTTGGTGATGCGGACTCTTTTTTGGTTCCATATGAACTTTAAAGTAGTTTTTTCCAATTCTGTGAAGAAAGTCATTGGTAGCTTGATGGGGATGGCATTGAATCTGTAAATTACCTTGGGCAGTATGGCCATTTTCACGATATTGATTCTTCCTACCCATGAGCATGGAATGTTCTTCCATTTCTTTGTATCCTCTTTTATTTCCTTGAGCAGTGGTTTGTAGTTCTCCTTGAAGAGGTCCTTCACATCCCTTGTAAGTTGGATTCCTAGGTATTTTATTCTCTTTGAAGCAATTGTGAATTGGTGTTCACTCATGATTTGGCTCTCTGTTTGTCTGTTGTTGTTGTATAAGAATGCTTGTGATTTTTGTACATTGATTTTGTATCCTGAGACTTTGCTGAAATTGCTTATCAGCCTAAGGAGATTTTGGGCTGAGACAATGGGGTTTTCTAGATATACAATCATGTCATCTGCAAACAGGGACAATTTGACTTCCTCTTTTCCTAATTGAATACTCTTTATTTCCTTCTCCTGCCTAATTGCCCTGGCCAGAACTTCCAACACTATGTTGAATAGGAGTGGTGAGAGAGGGCATCCCTGTCTTGTGCCAGTTTTCAAAGGGAATGCTTCCAGTTTTTGCCCATTCAGTATGATATTGGCTGTGGGTTTGTCATAGATAGCTCTTATTATTTTGATATACATCCCATCAATACCTAATTTATTGAGAGTTTTTAGCATGAAGGGTTGTTGAATTTTGTCAAAGGCTTTTTCTGCATCTATTGAGATAATCATGTGGTTTTTGTCTTTGGCTCTGTTTATATGCTGGATTACATGTATTGATTTGCGTATATTGAACCAGCCTTGCATCCCAGGGATGAAGCCCACTTGATCATGGTGGATAAGCTTTTTGATGTGCTGCTGGATTCGGTTTGCCAGTATTTTATTGAGGATTTTTGCATCAATGTTCATCAAGGATATTGGTCTAAAATTCTCTTTTTTTGTTGTGTCTCTGCCTGGCTTTGGTATCAGAATGATGCTGTCCTCATAAAATGAGTTAGGGAGGATTCCCTCTTTTTCTATTGATTGGAATAGTTTCAGAAGGAATGGTACCAGTTCCTCCCTGTACCTCTGGTTGAATTCGGCTGTGAATCCATCTGGTCCTGGACTCTTCTTGGCTGGTAAGCTATTGATTATTGCCACAATTTCAGAGCCTGTTATTGGTCTATTCAGAGATTCAACTTCTTCCTGGTTTAGTCTTGGGAGAGTGTATGTGTTGAGGAATTTATCCATTTCTTCTAGATTTTCTAGTTTATTTGCGTAGAGGTGTTTGTAGTATTCTCTGATGGTAGTTTGTATTTCTGTGGGATCGGTGGTGATATCCCCTTTATCATTTTTTATTGCATCTATTTGATTCTTCTCTCTTTTTTTCTTTATTAGTCTTGCTAGTGGTCTATCAATTTTGTTGATCCTTTCAAAAAACCAGCTCCTGGATTCATTAATTTTTTGAAGGGTTTTTTGTGTCTCTATTTCCTTCAGTTCTGCTCTGATTTTAGTTATTTCTTGCCTTCTGCTAGCTTTTGAAAGTGTTTCCTCTTGCTTTTCTACTTCTTTTAATTGTGATGTTAGGGTGTCAGTTTTGGATCTTCCCTGCTTTCTCTTGTGAGCATTTAGTGCTATAAATTTCCCTCTACATACTGCTTTCAATGCATCCCAGAGATTCTGGTATGTTGTGTCTTTGTTCTCATTGGTTTCAAAGAACATCTTTATTTCTGCCTTCATTTCGTTATGTACCCAGTAGTCATTCAGGAGCAGGTTGTTCAGTTTCCAGGTAGTTGAGCCGTTTTGAGTGAGATTCTTAATCCTGAGTTCTAGTTTGATTGCACTGTGGTCTGAGAGATAGTTTGTTATAATTTCTGTTCTTTTACATTTGCTGAGGAGAGCTTTACTTCCCAGTATGTGGTCAATTTTGGAATAGGTGTGGTGTGGTGCTGAAAAAAATGTATATTCTGTTGATTTGGGGTGGAGAGTTCTGTAGATGTCTATTAGGTCCGCTTGGTGCAGAGCTGAGTTCAATTCCTGGGTATCCTTGTTGACTTTCTGTCTCATTGATCTGTCTAATGTTGACAGTGGGGTGTTAAAGTCTCCCATTATTAATGTGTGGGAGTCTAAGTCTCTTTGTAGGTCACTCAGGACTTGCTTTATGAATCTTGGTGCTCCTGTATTGGGTGCATATATATTTAGGATAGTTAGCTCTTCTTGCTGAATTGATCCCTTTACCATTATGTAATGGCCTTCTTTGTCTCTTTTGATCTTTGTTGGTTTAAAGTCTGTTTTATCAGAGACTAGGATTGCAACCCTTGCCTTTTTTTGTTTTCCATTGGCTCAGTAGATCTTCCTCCATCCTTTTATTTTGAGCCTATGTGTGTCTCTGCATGTGAGATGGGTTTCCTGAATACAGCACACTGATGGGTCTTGACTCTTTATCCAATTTGCCAGTCTGTGTCTTTTAATTGGAGCATTTAGTCCATTTACATTTAAAGTTAATATTGTTATGTGTGAATTTGATCCTGTCATTATGATGTTAGCTGGTGATTTTGCTCGTTAGTTGATGCAGTTTCTTCCTAGTCTCGATGGTCTTTACATTTTGGCATGATTTTGCAGCGGCTGGTACCGGTTGTTCCTTTCCATGTTTAGCGGTTCCTTCAGGAGCTCTTTTAGGGCAGGCCTGGTGGTGACAAAATCTCTCAGCATTTGCTTGTCTGTAAAGTATTTTATTTCTCCTTCACTTATGAAGCTTAGTTTGGCTGGATATGAAATTCTGGGTTGAAAATTCTTTTCTTTAAGAATGTTGAATATTGGCCCCCACTCTCTTCTCGCTTGTAGGGTTTCTGCCGAGAGATCCGCTGTTAGTCTGATGGGCTTCCCTTTGAGGGTAACCCGAACTTTCTCTCTGGCTGCCCTTAACATTTTTTCCTTCATTTCAACTTTGGTGTATCTGACAATTATGTGTCTTGGAGTTGCTCTTCTCGTGGAGTATCTTTGTGGCGTTCTCTGTATTTCCTGAATCTGAACGTTGGCCTGCCTTGCTAGATTGGGGAAGTTCTCCTGGATAATATCCTGCAGAGTGTTTTCCAACTTGGTTCTATTCTCCCCATCACTTTCAGGTACACCAATCAGACGTAGATTTGGTCTTTTCACATAGTCCCATATTTCTTGGAGGCTTTGCTCATTTCTTTTTATTCTTTTTTCTCTAAACTTCCCTTCTCACTTCATTTCATTCATTTCATCTTCCATTGCTGATACCCTTTCTTCCAGTTGATCGCATCGGCTCCTGAGGCTTCTGTATTCTTCACGTAGTTCTCGAGCCTTGGTTTTCAGCTCCATCAGCTCCTTTAAGCACTTCTCTGTATTGGTTATTCTAGTTATACATTCTTCTAAATTTTTTTCAAAGTTTTCAACTTCTTTGCCTTTGGTTTGAATGTCCTCCCATAGCTCAGAGTAATTTGATCGTCTGAAGCCTTCTTCTCTCAGCTCATCAAAGTCATTCTCCATCCAGCTTTGTTCCGTTGCTGGTGAGGAAGTGTGTTCCTTTGGAGGAGGAGAGGCGCTCTGCTTTTTAGAGTTTCCAGTTTTTCTGTTCTGTTTTTTCCCCATCTTTGTGGTTTCATCTACTTTTGGTCTTTGATGATGGTGATGTACAGATGGGTTTTTGGTGTGGATGTCCTTTCTGTTTGTTAGTTTTCCTTCTAACAGAGAGGACCCTCAGCTGCAGGTCTGTTGGAGTACCCTGCTGTGTGAGGTGTTAGTATGCCCCTCCTGGGGGGTGTCTCCCAGTTAGGCTGCTTGGGGGTCAGGCACTTGAGGAGTCAGTCTGCCCGTTCTCAGATCTCCAGCTGCGTGGTGGGAGAACCACTGCTCTTTTCAAAGCTGTCAGACAGGGACATTTAAGTCTGCAGAGGTTACTGCTGTCTTTTTGTTTGTCTGTGCCCTGCCCCCAGAGGTGGAGCCTACAGAGGCAGGCAGGCCTCCTTGAGCTGTAGTGGGCTCCACCCAGTTCGAGCTTCCAGGCTGCTTTGTTTACCTAATCAAGCCTGGGCAATGGCGGGCGCCCCTCCGCCAGCCTTGCTGCCGCCTTGCAGTTTGATCTCAGACTGCTGTGCTAGCAATCAGTGAGACTCCGTGGGCGTAGGACCCTCCAAGCCAGGTGCGGGATATAATCTCGTGGTGTGCCATGTTTTAAGCCCGTCGGAAAAGCGCAGTACTCGGGTGGGAGTGTCCCGATTTTCCAGGTGCGTCCATCACCCCTTTCTTTGACTCAGAAAGGGAACTCCCTGACCCCTTGCACTTCCCAAGTGAGGCAATGCCTCGCCCTGCTTCAGCTCGCGCACGGTGCGCACACCCACTGACCTGCGCCCACTGTCTGGCACTCCCTAGTGAGATGAACCTGGTACCTCAGATGGAAATGCAGAAATCACCCGTCTTCTGCGTCGCTCACGCTGGGAGCTGTAGACCGGAGCTGTTGCTATTCGGCCATCTTGGCTCCTCCCCCCATTTCCCTATATTTCATACCTTCTTACACAGAAGGTAATAATTGATTCCCAGATTTGTTGTTTATATGCTCTTAAACTTAATAAAGACCTTATTTATGTATAGGAAGGGCCATTACACCAAAGTTAACATCATGCTAGGGCAAAATTATGTATTTTCCCATTAGTGTCATCTATCTTGGAGAGGGCATGGAAAATGATTTTTATAATATTTTTACTATTAAAAATTAATATAAAATATCTGAAATGGAGTTGACAAATGGAGATTATTTGTTCCAATTCCTATTTATTTATGAAAAAATTGAGGCTCAAAGCTACATCATTTTACTAACAAAATATTTGCACTATTGTTAACATGTATTACATTCACTTGTAGTATTATCCTCAATTTACATATATGAATATTGATTCAACTGACTTAAGTAATTTATCTAAAGTTACATCACTGGCCATTGGTGAATGAGAGACTTGAACCTACATAATCTGTCTCTGAATTCTGTGGTCTAAACAATATGTAAAATTCTTATCTTTAAATTTATATTCAAGTGATCTTTCTCTGGCTCTCTTATATCTCATCAGTAAAGTAGAAAAACAAAATAAAAGTAAACCAACTTTTTGAATGGAATGTTGGTTACATTTTTTACCTTCTAACTAGGAATCATTTTTAAAAATAAAACTCTGGTGAGTTGCATCCAGCCCAGGAATATATAAATGACAATTGCTGAAAGAGATCTTTAACTAGGGTTTTTATGTTACCTGGTGACTGGTAGTTCTCCCATCTAAAAAAATCATAATTTATTTTTTATTAATACAGGATTGGTTTGGTTTGGCTCACAGATCTTGGCCACTGTGTCCTCTCTCGGTTACACTGCATACTCTCAGGCTGTAGCAATGGAGAGAATCAGAATTTACTCTCTTAGATGGGAAGAACCACTTTCTTATTAGGGTGCTAGATGAGAATGACTTAAGAATTGCTCCTGGCATTTTCATGTTTTCATGGAAGCTGTCTCTCCATTTCTTTATCCCAAATGGTAACAGTAACGGAGAAACTTGTTCCATCATTTCACATCTAGTAGTACATGAGGGTCACTTGAATCAATTGCCAGTTAATATTATACCCATTCACTATAAAATGTTCAAGGGGAAGAAACTATATTCATTAAAGAAAGCAGGATAACAAGGAAGAACGTATGTTTTGTATTTTGTGACTGGGAAAATTTTAATATTTATACATTAAAATGACAATTATATAAGTAGTTCTTTAAATCATGAAATTATTGATACTCAATGTTTTGCAAAGGAATTTTGTATTCTTAAAAGTGTCTTCTTTGTTTAGAAGCTTAACATTAAAGAAGATGAATTACAAATCTTCTAAGCTCAAACATTTTTAGCGTAAATTATCTCTTTTATTTTCCTTGATGAATTTAGAATCCCTACCAATAGCTGTAACTATTTTTCTATTTTAAAATTAAACATTAAATAATCACCAGTAACATTTTTGAAGGCTTTAAAAATAGTGTCAAAATAGTTAGGTCATATAATTTCAGTCAGAAGCAAGGATGTGAACATTTTACTTGTAATCTTATATTGACTTTCCATGAAATGTTTTTAAAATCTTGCCAAGAACTTAGAGACCACCATTTAACCATTCATAGACAGCCTAGAAGTAGAGTAACACCACTGTAATAAACAAAGTTTTATTTTTTTGTTCTCATGACACCCTTCTCCTTGAAAAACATACAATATTTTTAGTAATTTTTTTCACCAAAGAAGTGGCTTAAGTACTTGCTTGATTTCAGTTGAAGTAAAATATCTAATTTCTAAAATTATTTCTTTTGGTGTTTTTAATGTCTTTGAATTCAAATGAACAAGATTTTAAAATCTTATTATGGCTCAAAATAGATGGCAAAACATATGAGCAAAATGAAAGTATGAAGGATTTTACATCCTGAGGCCAGTGGCTTATCTATTGGAACACGTTGGGTCCCTGGTGTGGCACAAAAACACTCAATTTCACTCTTGCTTCAAGAAGTACCATGTATAAATGTTCCATGTAACAATTTGACCATTTACAATTGAGGGGCCACTTTAAACTGGAGTAATACACTCAAGAGAGTTATGGTGACCACAAAAAAAAAATCATTATAGGTTTATGCAGTAGTTTCAGGTACCAGAGGGAACAACTTCTTCGCAGAGAATGCCTTAAAGTGAAGTAGCATGTTCCACAAAGAACAAAACGTCTCCTTAGAATGAACAAGTAAGTTAGTTTGCTAAAAGGTACAGTCAATTTCCTCCAAAAATATTGTGGCTAACTGATCTTATTTCACTTTCTTACCATAAATCATCTCTCCTTTGACATGCAGTGACCTTGTTTGAGGAATTTCAGTAATTTTAAAATGAAACATTTTATTAATTAGGCTAAGTCATATTCTGTTTTAAAAAGATATGATTACACAACAAATAAAATACATAGTCTTACTGAAAATTATATTATAGGCTAGTCCAGCAATTCAGGAGCAGTTCCATCTTTCTAAGTTTTTGTGATTGTTGAATGAGACCAAAGGAGATAACAGAAGAACTTGAGAAACTCTAGCCCCAGCATCTTGAAATGAATGACAAGATACAGAAGTCTACAGCCAAAGGTAAAGAAGAGTAAGTGAGAATATTACTGGGAGTTAGAGTGGTAATCAGATGTTAGTAGCAAGTATTTCTGGAGGTTGTCAAACAGTAGGCAAATAACCATAATATACCAGAAAAAATAAATTATAAATCTAATATCTAGACCACATCAGGAAATTCTGGTTTTGATTGTGTACAGGTATGTCTTCATTTGCTGAATAGATTTGTGAAACAAAATTTTCTGCAAATAAATTTCAGAGTGGTGTTTTAAGGTAGTGAAGAAGACATAAGATTTGGAATCAGACAGATTTCAATATTAATTCCAACAACTGCTCCTGAAGGCTGTGTTAATTTAGAGAGATTATTCACTTACCAAAGCCTCAGGCCTTCTATCTGTAAAGATGGAGCAATGTCACATTAAAAAATACACATGAAATACCTATGAATCAGCCCTAAAACATAAGACTTGGTTAATGCAATCTTTTTTTCTTTCTCTCTCTTCCTGGTTTTTCTTTCCTTCTTCCTGTATCAATTCCAGTCACTTGTCAATAGGTAAATGAAAGTAGAAAGATGTGTTTTGGGGAAATTCCTTCAGTAAATGAACTTATTAAAACTACAGTATCAGAGAGGCACTGAATATTCTGGACCTCTACCTCTTTCCTTACTAGACTATTTCAAATTTCCCTTTGCTGTCACAGGGAGTTCTCAACATTTAGTGATTCCCATGTCACAATTTCTCACCTCTCAATTGGTCTGTCTATAGAGAATGTTGCATTGCAAAATTCTCTGAGACTGTATTCAAACTTACTAGAAAAAGGTGTCATGGTTGACTATAATGTTCCATATATTCTAGAGTAGATCATTTTCCCTCTCTGAAATTGGGGTGTGTCTTGCACTCAATGGCATGTTAAAGTCTAGTTGGCAACCGTATTTTTCTGTTTTTAAATTGAACATAAAATAATGGTGTGTCTCATGATTGATGACATCTTAGAGTTAAAGAAACATGGTAGCAGTGTCTGACATAGGCACAGAAGAGACAATGTAGGCCAGCCATCTTAGACTTAGCAAATTTTATTTACCTTAAAATTTATATTGCGTAAAATTAGTTGAGTCACTGTTTTATCAAGAGCTATTTTGTAATTCTCTAAAACCAGATTACTTAGCATCAGATATACTTATATGCATATAAAAGTAAAGAGATATAAATGTATTTTCTACTTTTTTATGACTCTAAGTTTATTAATGGTATGTGAAAACTGTCTATATTCATTCAGTATTTGAACAAAACCTTACCCAGCATTTCAAAATATTTGCAGAGACAATGCATTTACTCTAGAGAAATGTGTTATTTTTTTACCTATATATACTTTTTATATAATAGTTTATTACCTACAGATGGCTAAAACATACATTCATAATGTATACTCCAGAAAAAAAATATGTTAAGGTGTTAAATGTTGTCATGTTAAATTAAAATGTTTAATTAAATTAATTTTTTTAAAGAATCATAAATACAGTCTTAAATGTACATGGTACCATCGTAAATACCATGGCCAGAGTTCTACGGTATATCCCTGTAGTTATATATTCTTATTGGTAAATATAATTATAATTTTAGATAATTATTTACATTTCTTTATATATTGTATGCCTCTAACTATATGGTGCATTAATTCTAAGACATTGATTCTAAACTTTTAACCTCTCTAAGAGAGAATCTTGTCTTATAGTCCATGATATAATTATAATTGGTAGAGGTTTTTTTTTCTTAATGGCACCAAAATGAATTGTACACTTTACAATCAATGGAATCTTAGATTAAACGTGGAATAGAAAGATACATATAAAGAGAGCTAAAAAAGATAAATTTTGTACATAGATACTACCCTACTCTTTTTTCCCTCATGACATAAATTATTATTCTGGAAAATATATTGCAGGAAAATATATTACAAACCAATAATTACTTTTAAGAGAAGCTAATTTACTCGAAATTTCTTCTAAGTGTGCAAGGAACTCAGTATTTTGAAGACATTCTTTTAATTTCCAAAGTATTATAGGGTCTTAATATTAATATGATGGAGTGGAGTAAAATTATAGAGTAAAGGAATATAAATGGTGCTCATAGCCTGGATTATATATTTATTGATTATTAACATTATTTCCTTTGCAAAGAACCTGAGTTTGTGCTCAGAGTTTAATTAATTATTTTCTGGTGATAGAAAGCTATTTTTATTTGGGGAAAAATATTACATAAATATTATTTTAATAATATTTATGCATTCCATATTTGATTTAATTGAAAATGAATCCATGAAATATATTTAAAACATACTAAAATATATATGATTTTTAAATAAAAGTAAAAATACATTAATCAAAATATTGTCACCTTTCATCTGGCATAACTCACTAATTTGAAACTAGTTTAAATTATTAAATAACTATGCATATAAAGATATAACTAAGTAAATATCCCTTTCTATTAATACTGGAAAAGTTAAAAAGATTTTAAACATTTCCACCTATGATGGATTGAGTAAATACATAACAATTCACTCATGTAATAAAGAGTATGCTTGCTATTAAAAGTGAGATTGCTAAAAAAAACAAACATGAAAAAGAGTCAATGTCTGTGAAATAATGCTACTAAAATGATTACAAATTTACTCATATATTGGGAAACACAAATGCTTATTACATTTCCAATATAAAAATGTGTATACTTCTGATTTTTCTATAGTGAACATACTGAGTTTTGTATGTTTAAAAGATAAGAAAAACAATTAAGACAGAATACACCAAGAGTCAATAAAACTTAATGATAAGAGCAGCTAGGAAATGTGAACAAAAACTTAAAGACAAACAATTTTGTCCTTCTATGTGTATTCTTACCTAGTTTATGTAAAGGAAGCATAAGTGCATCATTTGGGTGATGATTAATTGAGTGTTTAACTTTAGACAGGCAAAGGTATGTTGGAACCAGCACACATACAGAAATAGCTCTCTCACATGTAGATATTGCTTGCACAAACTGTAGAACCTATACAATCAGCACCTCTCTCTCTCTCTTTTTTTTTCTTAAATAATGACTCTAACTTTAGATCTTTCCTTTGCTCATATTGAAAGTCATCCAGAAAAGAAGTTTTCAGATTGTACAGTTAGTATTTGAACTGGCAGCAGTGACCTGATCTAAGAGCACAGCCTTTTTCACAAGCTTTGATGTGCTGTCAGGACAAATCCTGGGATTCTTGGCATCAGGTTTTAATTTGCTATCATGAAAATGAATTGCATATTCAGTACTATGGCAGACAGTTTCTGTCTATTACCAATCTTGGGAAGTAGTTGGAAGTGCTGCTTAAGTCAAATGATCAGAAAAAAAAATGATAATTTGTCAGTTTCATTATGTGTCTAGTAATTTGTCTCATTCATAATAAGTATTTAGGACATTTTTGATTGGGTGTCAGGCATGCATTACCTCTGACAGTAGAATCTGTTGCCACATGTAGTCTGGGAGAGCACTGGTTAACAGCATATGGGAACTCTTTCTCTCACTGCTTATAAAAATATTGAACGGTCCTACAGTTTTAGAGACTATTAGAAATAAAGTGCTGAGATCAAAATAAAGAGAATTTGCACTTCTTACAATACTCAATTCATAAATGTCTTACACTCGATGTGTCTGTTTTTTTGGTGTGTGTATAATTGTTAATGAGTGCCATGATATTTTTAAAGAAATAAGAAATCTTAGAAATTGTAATCAAAGTGGTTTTATCCTGAACAGCAGTGCAAAGCCCTGTTTTAGGAAAAATTAAGAGCATATGTTCCAGAATTCAGCCCTAATTTGCAATGAATTGCTTCAGTAAAAGCACTTATATCAGTACTGTTAATCTTAATGGTTACAAGTGACCCATGTTTTAATAATCCAGAACATCAGTTGAGTACAAAATCTCTTTTTCTAATTAAGAATGTTTGACCACAAGAGGGAGTTCCTTGCCAACTGTTTACTTAGCCTCAGCAGATATGATGGGCCAGAATTTACACAGAAAAATACCTTCAAATATATTTAGTTTCTTCAGTGCTTTTAGATTGAGAAAATGATGACAATCTATTTAAATTTAGGTCTTCATGAATTTTCAGAATGAAATATAATTTGCACTATGAAATTCTTAGGTTAGCATACCAATCATTTTTTAGGAATGAAATGATGTGCCATGTTTTTGAAAGAGGTTTCAAAATTTGCACCTGCAAATTTGCAGTGCACCAGTTTGTGAACAAAACCCACACTGATATACCAAAGACCCTTTGAGGCCATAGATTGTGCCACTGTACACCAACTTACTTAATTTGCATAAAGAAAGATAGCTTTGTCTACATAAACTGACACACATATTTTTGCCGAATTTGGTATCATCAGTGAATACAGTATAGGATGTGGAATGTGACTTTGAAGGTACAAAACTAAATTAGCATGTTTGAAGAAAAAAAGTTAATCCTTCAACTAGTGGACTCCTTGGCATACAAATCAAGGCTATTTTCCTCATGATTAGGTATGTAATATACCCAGTATCTCAATCATATATTAGAAAACTAAAAATATTTCCTACCTCATAATGATTTGCCTTAAAATTACATGTAATCCAGAGCATCCCAGTAAAGTGTGTTCTGACACAACTCTGAAAAAGTAACAGCATAATTAGGAAATACTTTATGCAATATTCCATGTGTGCTTCTTTTTAATTAAAGAAAAAAAAAAGTAGGATTGTTTTAAAACTTGCATATTATTCCCCCAAGAATTTGATTTCTGTTGTGGTTATTCCTAAAGTTTTATACCATAGCCTCCTGAAGTGATACTCAGCAGCATCTTCCTCACCGTAAGATGAGAGCAAGAATTCTCCATGGCAAAGCACAGGGGCATTTAGAGATAGGCACTCCAGCCACACCTATCGAGATAATTAATAAGTGTAACAGTAGTAAATGCAGTAATTTTGGCAAAACTTATTTGGAGAAAATGACTGTATCTCACATGTGTCGCACTGGCTATAATACAGGATATAGGAGAAGAAAATACCAGTAATTCTTTTTACTGTTACCTCCCACCCCCTGTGGTTCTTAGGATTGTATTATTTTAAACCTTTTTTGACACATTTTGCCCCATGAAGTCATGCATTTTTAAGAGCTGATCTCTTTACAGTAACTTAAACTGACAAGTAAGGAAAGCAGAATTCTTTGGTGACCCCGGCAGTTCTGCAGCTCACTGAAAGGCTTCTCCCCAACCTGTTTCTAAGACAGACATGGTGAGGAATACAAGGACAGCACGTGCTTATATATATTCAACAATAAGAATTCAAATACAATAAAATGCAGGGAAAGTCACAAGACACTGTGAAAACACATGCACGAAATTATAGACAGAAATAAGTTTGAAATAAATATCCTTTGTTGGTGTAAAGTTGAGAAATGATAAATCATTCATTTTAGTCTGGAACCAAAGTCAAGCTGACAATAACATGGAGAAATGAAGATTTATCTTATTTTTTCAGCAAGTTGTTGCAGGTATACTGTGCAATCTTTTATGGAGTAGGAAAGTGGTTAATTTTCCTTCCTTCCTTACCTCCTCTCTCTCTCTGTTTCTCTCAGATGCACACACACACGCGCTCGCACAGACACACACACAGAAACGATACATGTACTTTTCTTTGGGGTTAATTATATTAAGATTCTTAACAGTTGTATTAAAAATATGCCTAACACTAAGCCTTAGTGAAAACATCTGGAAGTTTTGGTTTCCATGATGTAAAAAATCCAGATGTTTGGAAATATGCTTACTGACTGATTTGTATATGTGTGTGTGAGCACGTGAGTTTGTGTGCATATATATATATATATATGTGTGTGTGTATAGTCTTTTGCTTCACTGGTGTCATGAAGACAAAACCTTGAACTCCACATATTGTCATTATGAAACATAGTGATTTCCAAAATCCACCTTATAAACTTATAACATACATTATTAACATTTTATTTTAGCAAATCTCTCACACTATCAATGTATGGATATTTGAAATTGAAATAAGACATCATGCTAACTATCTGCAAAGGAGATTAAATATCAAGTCCAACTCTTTAATTTAACATAGTTGGCCATAAAGAACCAGAGACGCTCAGAGTTACTTGCTCATAGGGACATTTCCAACTCTTTCAAAGTTGGGACAAAACTCCCAGTCCTAACTTCCCAATCCAGGAATACTGTTTTCATATCATAACAAGTAGCATCCATACATGATAGGAAAAAAACCTGAAAGGGAAAAGAATTGTAGCCTTAAGAGTTTCACTAAGAAATTCATGTTTATTTGAACTTTAAAAAGGGATCATGTATTTTATTATTTTTAGTAATGTCTTGGTGTTTTACTTGACTGATATATTTTAAATATTATTGGTGCTATTAATGCTTTTGTTATGATGATTATGACATTAATAAATTATAATTCCACAAAACCAATTTACATGCAAATGTAGTAAGCAAATTTTATTCATCAGTATAAATTACCAAATAAGAAGAGCATACAACTTCCTAGCAGTGTGTTCCAAGTCAGGTAAGATGAGTGAGTTTTTCAGTCGCAAAATGACTTCGATAAATTCTAATAAGCCATTCAAAAAATGTAGCTTAAAATATGCCAAAATATCCACATGCCGCCACTGGACTGAGGGCTTCAGTTAATACTGCAAAAAGCTATCTTTAATAGCTATTGGTTGCTCAGCAGGATGAGTAAGGCTGGGATTAGAGATAATGATACTTGTTGGAGCCACAGGGAGGCAGAGGAGAAAGCGATCGGCCTCCCTTGGCTTTGTAAAAGCATATTGAAAAGAAACTTATATTCAGGAGAACATGATACTAGGCAGTGATACATCTGATAATCTAAATATTTCTTTTTTTTCTTTTAAGTTGATCTGAGACAGCTATTTCACATTTAAATATAGTATTGAAATTCTTAGACGTCAGAGAACACATCGTGAAATCTCTCTTGTATTAGCCTCTCCTTTTTGCATTCCACTGTCTCCATTCTATTTCAAACCTTGTCATCTTAGTGAATATCAGTTTACTGATATTCTTTCCTTTGCGATTGTCCTACACACAGTACCTCTCCAAAGTAGTGCAAACTAATTGCAAAAGCCAGAACAATCTTTCTAGTGGGCTGCTGTGATTGTGTTACTTCCTTATGCTGAAACTTGCTCTTTCATATTCAGTACAAAACAAATTTCATGTAATAACATTTAAAGTTTCCTCCTAGAAGATATCAACTTGTTTTATTGTTGTTCTTGTTGTTTTTAATGAACACTGTTCCCATGTGAAACGTTCCTTGAACTACTGTGTCCTTTCAGACTCATACTATGGATTCCCTCAGGCAGGAAAGCCTACCCTTTGCCTGTTGAAATCTAGCTACCTTTTAAGGCCCAGATCAATTAAGATGTACACTATAAGTCTTTCTTCGTCTCTGTTATGAATAGATCCCTTACTGCTCATCTCTTGATAGCAGTCAATTTGTACCACTAACAACAACACCTATGCTGAAATTATAATTATTTGTTTGTAGGTGCTATTGCCCCATCACATTTTGCTCCCCTCTATGGCATAGACCATGTCATATCCAACTTTATCGTGCAAGACTGTCTGTTTGCTACATAATAGGCTCTACATAAGTTATTTGAGAATTGATGAATTAATTGAAATTTTAAAACATAGTAGATTGCATGAACATGAATATTAGCAAAAATAACTTTAAAATATGCCAAAATATTCACCTGCTGTCACTGGACTGAGGGCTTCAGTTAATATTGCAAAAAAAGCTGTCTTTAATAGCTATTAGTTGCTATTAAATAGCGATTTTTAGGATTTAAAGCCATTTAAATTCAGAACTTTTAGTGACTTACTGTGCCAGTGGCCTTCTGTTTGTCCCTCCAATGGCCAAAAAAGAACATTACAAGAAGGTTGCAACAGTGAGAAAATGAATGCGCAGAGGTCTACTCCCCCTGTGCCTTCTCTCAGAGATTACATTGGGATAGTTTCTTTTGACCAAAGGTCCTGGCTCCTTTCAGAAGTAAGGTTCTCCCAAGCTCTCTCTCTCCATGTTCTGATAACTGCCTCTTCCTCTTGCCCTTCAAGCTGAGGTATGTTATTTAAGCCCTTCTGTCACTACTCCCAAGAGGCTGCACTGTTTCTTGCAGCATTTCTCTGTCCCACTCATGCCATTATAATTAGTCCCTTTAGTAAACTCTGTTCCAATTTTTCTATCTGATGGTGTCATCTATTTTCTGACAGGAGCCTGACTGAAACATCTATAAATGTGTATGGATTTATGGTGCATATACTTTGTGTATCTACAAAATGACAATTGTCAACAGCCATGGGGAATTACTAAAACTAACAAATGACTATCTTTTCCTTAGAGTATTATAGTAACAATCTTAATTAATTTGATCACCAATAATTCTATTCAATGAGTGAGCATTAACTTCAGTTCTGCTTTTAGCCATTACTATACAACAGAGAACATAGACAGATAGATATAGATAGATAGATGGATAGATAGATAGATAGATAGATAGATAGATAGACACATGTATATACACACATGTATTCCTAAGTCCTTCTTTTCAGAATATAAAGTTATTGAAGTGTTCAAGACCTATGCACAGACAACATCTCTTGCCAACTAATGTCTATATAAAGTCAATATACCAGTTATTCTAATTGATAATTGTGAGTCATAATTACATCTTTGATTTTTAAAAAAAATCCTATGATAGCACTTAAACTGCTTGCCAACCTTTCCGAAAGCTGAAGTAATTTGTTATTTTTATAAGTAGGCAAAACTTAAAGTTTTTCTTAAATATCTATGCACTACCTCGTGTCTTGTTAGATTCTAAAGACACCCTATATTAATACACAATATGTAGTTTATTAAAAGCTTGGATGATAAAACCATTAATAAAATGTCTACTTAAAATAATATTTTTCAGAAGTTTGTCAAGAAGTAAAATTGACAAATTATATAGTATTGGTCTCCTGTTGGAAGACTATGCAAAATCAACAAATAGAAAATGTGAAAATAAAGACAGTTTTCTATCTTAGGCTTAAAAAACCACATCCTTACACACTCTATTCTAAAGAATTGTATTTTGGAAGGAAACATCATTTTTTTTTTGTTAGTGTTCTTAAATGCTTTTCTCCAGATAAAATATGGCTGTACCAATTTGAATCCAATTTTGTAATTAAAAATTTCTCCCCCTCTGTGAACTTGTAGTAATGTTTCATCCAAAAGCAGATTATTACAACCAAATTACAAACCCCTAAAGAGAAGGGTGGCATTATAAATGGAAACACCCACACAACCTTAAGTACAATATAGCAGTGCAAACAGCATTGCTCTAATGACAGTAATCCTGCTTGCCTTAGCTGTATTCATGCAAATGACAATTTAGTACAGATGTGGCACACATTTGCATGGTTAATGGCATCATTTTTTGTCCTTTTCTACTCCTCTATACTATGATCAGCTGTTATGCTTAACATTACAAATTCTATGTGCTGTTCCTAACATTAGTAGAAACATAAGGCTGGTAGTCCTTGTCAGTGATTTAACTAAAACATGCATATGCACAAAAAAGCGGGAGGTGTAGGAGGGATAGGGTGGGGAGAGGTGGTTAGTGCCTGGTTGAGGCTTTCTCTTTTTAAGACGTTCCCTTTCAAGGATGACTCTGGAATAGAAACAATTTTTAATATATGAAAAACATCAATAGTTTTCCTGTTTCAGTAACATACTCAGAATATTCCACATGTAAGTGCAACTCATAGTTCCTACCTAGATTTATGTATACATCTCTCTCCATTCCATTATAAATGGTGCATCTCAATTCAGGGAAAGAACATGTTCATTCTTTGGAAGATTTGATGACAATGACATGCAAAATATTGACAGGTCAGTTTAAGAAGGTAACTAATCCACATGTACCATATTACTCTTGTTATTAACATTTCCTAATGCTAAAATTGCCAGTATAAAACCGTGAGCACCATATTAAGAAGCAGATACATCCCTCGGCAAGAAAAGTGGTAAGTAATCTAATGTTTTGATGTGCTTGAGAAATATATTATATACAGACAAAGAGAGAGTTAAGCCTTATTTCATGGTGAAACAAAATAACATGACATTTTTTAAACACGACATTGTAATAAAATTTATTGATTTTAAGAAATTGTAGGTGATTCTTTTACTTTCTTATTTTTAAATCTGGAGAGAACATTTCAAATGTTTTATTTTTCTTATGACTTCTAAATTTGAGAATTTTACCAATTATTAAACCTAACACTAAATCAAAGTAGCCTTTATTCTTTGTTAAACATTTTCTTGTGTTTCTCCATTCTCTTTTTCTTCATTTGCTTTTTTTACTCTCCATAAAACTCCACTCCAACACATACTCTATCATCTATCATCTCCTACAGCCTAAAGATCTCCTTTCCTTTAAAGTGCATTCTCTTACATGGCAGACGCCATTTACTATTCTTGCATTTTACAAAGTGTCCCATTATTCATGCATAACTTCTCAAATATATGTATATATATAAATTATATGTATACTTTTTATGTTCTTTTTTTAGCCAATCTATGAATTGCTGCATCTAAGCATCGAGATTCCTTGCCTAATTCCTTTACCCAAATTTGGATTCAAAACTAGGTCCCACTCTACTAGTAAGACAGTGGTATAATGTTTGATGTATTGAAGGCCATTATAAAGCCCATAAGTTATGTAAACAACCTCAATCAAAGCTCAAATATCATAAATGTATTTAAGTATATTCCAATGTGTCAGGTTTTGTTGCTATACAAAGGGATTTTACTATATCTTACAGAGGTTTATAAATATGAGAATAGCATAATGAAATCAGTAATTTAGGAAGAACATCATAGCAATATGGTTTGGGATGAGGAAGCAGAAAGACAGAGGGAACTTTAACAAAGCCATGATGATAAGGCAAGCAACTCATATTCAGGGATATAGCTATGGAAATTTTTGTGCAAATGGAGAAAGGGGAATGGATTCTTGAGATGCTAAAAGAATATAATTAAAAGGAATTAATGACAGATTTAAAATATAATATCATGAAAGATGAATTATTTTTGATAATTGGGGTTTCTAACTCAAGTATGTGCATAAATATACTCAATAATCAAGATGTGGGATGTGAGAAAGGTAAACAATTACAGAAAAAAAATGTAGAAGTACAAGCATCAAACCAGGAGTATCGAGACAAGTAATAAAGTTTGAGTCAAAACGTCAACATGAAAGCTCAATCAAAGAGAATGAACGGGATGATCTAGGGAGATAGAATACAGTTAAGAGAGGGCATAAGAACATAAAGTTTGATCAAATATGGGGAGATGGAGTGCAAAGAAAGATGACCTGAAGCAGGAAACCAAAAATATGGCAAGAAAATCAAAGAATTGTGGAGAAAGCCTGATGTAGTTAGGTTGACATCTCTTGTTTTTGCAAGCATCCTCTGGTAATATCATATAAATTTCCCTTCCTTCCTTCCTTCCTTCCTTCCTTCCTTCCTTCCTTCCTTCCATCCCTCCCTCCTCCCTTCCTGCCTTCCTCCCTTCCTCCCTTCCTTCCTTTCTTCCTTCCTTTTCTGCTAGTTTGAGTCAGTTTGCAATAGAAAGATAAACCCGATTAGTACATTGAGACCTGAATGGGGACACTTTAAAAAGAAGGTTTGATTCCCTGTGCCGAATACTCAGGAAGATTAAATTTAATAAGATCTAGGATTAAACTACTGAGATTAGTTACTATACAAATACTCATGTCACTTGTAATTTGAGAGAATATTTTATCATTAAGGAGATTGAGCAGGGGGAGGTTAAATGGAATTAGTTTGTGTTACCTTTTAATGTAAATAGAAAAATTAAATAATTAAATACAAAGTACTTTGTCTATATCTTTGGTGAATATTAGAGCAGTAATCAAATTTAAAGGAAAATAAAATGCTTTATGTAGCTGAGTTGTAAATAATCAAATTTACTCTGTTATATTTAAAAATTACTATTTGGGCTAAATTACAACAAATATTTAAAAGGAATAATACTTTATATATGAAGGCTTGAAGGTTGCAAAATGACTTTCTGATGTTATCCAATTTCATCACATTTTAATGAATAAATATGTGAGATGAGCAAAAAGATCAACTGTTTCATCTCCAATTTAAAAGGGAGAAAAGGGGGAGCTCAGGAACTCAGTGATTTTTTTTACATGACTGTAATATAGTAGGTCAATATTCTGTCATTTTTCTCTCCCCTTCATATAACACAAAGAGCATGCTTTACTTCCAAATATCTATTTGTTATGGTTATTAAGCATGCAAATATTTGAAAAAGTAGGCTTATTACCTACCAAGTGTCTAATATTTAGGAGAGTACAGATTTTAGCTTGTATTTTCCTCATATCTGTGGATAGTTATCAATATTCAGGCTGCTTATTAATGGTAATTTGTTTTCCTATTTAGTTTTCAGTGTTTATACAACTGTTTCACTTTGGGAAACACACCAACTTCCAAATAAGCACAGGTAAATTAGGAGAAAAGTTACTTTTATCTTAATAAAGCAAAATATTCTCAATTAGAGTGACTTTTGTGCTGACTTTATATAAGATTTAAGGTGTATGATAGTTCTATTTTTAATTTTTGAAGAACTTTCATTCTACTTTTCATAGTTGATATGGTTTGTCTCTGTGTCCCCACCCAAATCTCATCTTGAATTTTAATCCCCATGTGTCAAGGAAGAAACCTGGTGGGAGGTGAGCAGTTTCCCCATGCTGGTCTGGTGGTTGTGAGTGAGTTCTCGTGAGAGCTGATGGTTTTAAAATGTGACACTTCTTCTTGCTCATTGTCTCTCTCTCTCTCTCTCCTGCCACATTGTGAAGCAGATACTTGCTTTTCTTTTTCTTTCCTTCCTGAAGGTAAGTTTCCTGAGGCATCTCCAGCCATGTGGAACTGTGAGTCAATTAAACCTCTTTTTTAAAAATAAATTAACCAGTCTCAGGTAGTATCTTTACAGCAGTGTGAAAACAGACTAATACAGAGAATTGATACCGAGAATGGGGCACTGCTATAAAGATAACCCAGAAATCTGGAAGCGACTTTGGAACTGGGTAATAGGCAGAGGTTGAAACAATTTGGAGGGTTCAGAAGAAGACAGAAAGATGTGGGAAAGTCTGCAACTTCCTGGAGACTTGCGGAATGATTTTGACCAACATGCTGATAGTGATATGGACAATGAAGTCCAGGCTGAGGTGATCTCAGATGGAGATGCAGAACCTATTGGGAACTGGAGCAAAGGTTACTCTTGCTATGCTTTAGCAAAGAGACTGGTGGCATTTTTCTCCTGCCCTAGAGGTCTGTGGAACTTTGAACTTGAGAGAGATGATTTAGGGTATCTGGCAGAATAAATTTCTAAGCCGCAAAACATTCAAGAGGCTTCCTGGATTTTCCTGAAAATGTACAGTTATATGTGTCCACAAAGAGATGATTTGAAATTGGAACTTATGTTTAAAAGGTAAGCATAGTATAAAAGTTTGAAAAATGTGTAACTTGACTATGTAGTAGAAAAGGAAAACTGATTTTCTGGGGAGAAATTCATGCCGGCTGCAGAAATTTGTGTAAGTAATGAGGAACCGAATATTAATTGCCAAGACAATGGGAAAAAATGTCTCCAGTGCATTTCAGAGATCTTCATGGCAGCTCCTCCCATCACAGGCCCTGAGACCTAGGAGGGAAAAATGGTTTCCTGGGTGGGGCCCAGGGACCTACTTCTCTATGCAGCCTCTGTACTTGATGCCCTGCATCCCAGCTGCTTCAGCTCCAGCCATGGCTAAAAGGGGCCAAGGTACATACATCTCAAGCCGTTGCATTAGACAGTACAAAATCCAAGCCTTGGCAGCTTCCACATGGTGTTGGTACTGAGGGGATGCACAGAAGACAAGAGTTGAACTTTGGGAACCTTCATCTAGATTTCAGAGGATGTAGGGAAACATCTGGATGTTCAGGAAGAAGTCTGCTGCAGGGGCAGAGCCCTCATGGAGAACCTCTACTAGAGCAATGCAGAGGGGAAATGTGGGGTTGGAACCCCCATACAGAGTCCCCACTGGGGCATCGTCTAGTAAAGCTGTGAGAAGAGGGCCACCATCCTTCAGACCCCAGAATGGTAGATCTACTGACAGGCTGCACCATTCACCTGGAAAAGCTGCAAGCACTCAAGGCCAATCGGTGAAAATAACTTCAAGGGCTGAACTCTTCAGAGCCACAGTGGCAGAGCTACTAAAGGCTGTGGGAGCCCGCCCCTGGCATCAGCATGATCTGGATGTGAGACATGGTGTCAACAAAGATTTTGCAGCTTTAAGATTTAATGACTGATCGGCTGGGTTTTGAACTTTTGTGGCCCGTGGCCCTTTGTTTTGGTCAATTTCTTCAATTTAGAATGGGAACATTTACCCACTGCCTGTATCCATATTGTTCTTGGAAATAATTAACTTGCTTTTGATTATACAGGCTCATAGGTGAAAGGGAGTTGCCATGTCTCAGATGAGACTTTGGACTTGGACTTTTGGGTTAATGCTGAAATGAGTTAAGACTTTGGGGGACTGTTAGGAAGGCATGATTGGTTTTAAAATGTGAAAAGGACCTGAAATTTGGGAAAGGCCAGAAGTGGAATGATATGGTTTGGCTCTGTGTCTCCACTCAAATCTCATCTGGAATTGTATTCTTCATGTATTGAGGGAGGGACCTGGTGGGAGGTGACTGGATTATGAGGACGGTTTCCCCCATGCTGGTCTGGTGATAGTGAGTTCTCACAAGATCAGATGGTTTTAAAGTGTGGCACTTCCCGTTGCTCGCTCTCTCTCCCTCCTACAGCTTTGTGATAACAGTACTTGCTTCTCCTTCTGCTTCCAGCATGATTGCATTTCCTGAGGCCTCTCTAGCCATGTGGAACAGTGAGTCAATTAAACCTCTTTTGTTTACAAATTACGCGGTCTCAGGTGGTATCATTATAGCAATGGGAGGATGGACTAATACAGTAGTTGCTTCATTTTACATTCCCAACAACAGTATATGAGGGTTTCAAGTTTACCACATCATTGGAAACACTTGTTATTTTTTTTAAATAATAGTCATTGTAATAGGTGTGAGGTGATACCGTATTGTAGTTTTTATTCACATGTTCCTGATAATTGATGATATTGAGCATGTTTTCATCTATCTGTTGGCTATTAGTGTGTCTTCTGTAAAGAATATCTGTACAAATCCTTTGCCCACTTTTTAATCGGGTTATTTTATTATTATTATTGGGTTGAAATTCCTTTCTGGATTATATATCCAAAAATATTGAAATCAGAATCTCAAGGAGATATCTGCATGCCCATGTTGATTGCAGCATTATTTACAATAGCCAATATATGAAAAAATCTCGTGTCCATTAAGAGATTAATGATTTAAAATGTGGCATACACAAACAAAGGAATATTTTCCATCCTTATAAAAAAGAAATTCTGCCATTTGACATTATGGATGAACCTGGAGGATATTACACTAAGTGAAATAAGCCATTCACAGAAGGACAGATATTGTAAAATTCCACTTATTGGAGGTATCTATACTAGTCAATTCTTAGGAGGAAAAAAGACAATAATGATTTTCAGGGTCTACAGGGTAAGAAAAATGGAGAATTGTTCAATGGGTATAACATTTCAGTGATGTTAGATAAGTTCTAGAAATATAGACAGTGCCTGTGATTAACAATACAGTACTGTACACCTCAAAATTTGTTGAAAGGGGTTACATGTTAAGTGTTCTTTTTTTTTATTATACTTTAAGTTTTAGGGTACATGTGCACAACTTGCAGGTTAGTTACATGTGTATACATGTGCCATGTTGGTGTGCTGCACCCATTCGAAACAAAAACAAAACAAAAGTACAGAAGAAAACATTGAGAGGTGTTGGATGTGTCTATTACCTTGATTGTGGTGATGCTATCAAGGTTGTTTGAATATGTTCAAATTAATCAAACTGTACACATTATATATGTAAAGTTCTTTGCCTATCACTTACTCCTCAATAAAACTGTTATAAAAAGAAAGAAAAGAAAATGCCAAGGAATATTCAAAAAACCCCTAAAACTAATAAGTGAGTTTTACAAGGTCACAGGATCTATGCAAAATTCAACCATAGTTTTTTAATAGTGGAAATGGATAATTGGAAAATAAAGTATTTTAAAAAAGAATATAATAGCTCATAAATGCTTAGATATAAATCTAACAAAACATGCACAGGTATATGGAAAAATACAAAATATTAATGAAAGAAAAGAGTCCAAATAATTGGGTAGACAAAAAATGCCCAGAGATTTGTGGACTCCACAAAGTAAAGATCTCACTCTCATCCAGATTGATTCTGGATTTACTGGAATTTCAATAAAATTATAGTAAATCTAAAATTTTCTTTCTAAATTTTATATAATTCTAAGCTGTATAAGGAGAGCAAATGAATTAGGATAGCTAAAACAATTTCAATGAAATATAAGATAGGAAGACTCTATCCTTGTAAGAATTACTTTATCCTTTATAGCAAATCTCACATTAAGACTTGCTATAAAGCTACAGCCATCAACAGAATGTGGTATCAGCGATGAGACAGAATTACAGATCAATGAAGTAGCAGAGAGAAACCAGATATAGATCAATGCAATTATGGCCAATTGATTGTCAACAAAACTGCAAATGGAGAAATATTAGATTTTTCAACAACTGTTTCTGGAACAGTTGGATATACATGCACCAAAAAAACAAATAAGCAAGAAAAAACCCTCAACCTAATCTTCATGCTTTATACAAAAATATACAAAATAAACATAGATATACATCCAAGATATAAAGATATAAAATATTTAGAAAAAAACTTAGTGACCAGGGTTAGGCAAATTGTTCTTAGAAGAAGAGTAAAAAGAAAAAAAGATCAATTAGATTCATCAAAGTTGATAATTTTTCCTTTTACAAAAAATGGGTAAGAGAATACAAATCACAAATCTGGTAAAGGAACATATAAATAACAAAATGTATAAGGAATACAAAGATATACACACACACACACATATATATATACACATAAATGTATACACACACATGTAGATGTATATAAAGAACTAAGTTAAAAATTAAAAAGCCTGTGATCCAATTAAAAGTGGGCAAAACGTTTGAACAGGCATTTCACCAAGGAGGATATAAAAATGGCAAATAAGCATATAGAAAAATGTTCATCATAATTAGCCATTAAGAAAATGTAAATTAAAACCAGAATGAATTACTACTACATACCCTTCAGAGTAGTTAAAATCAAAATGCTGATAATGTCAAGCACTAACAAGTTGGTGGAGCATCTGTAACTTGCACACATTTTTGGTGAAAATGCAAATTAATAGAGCCATTCTGAAAAACAGTTTGGAAGTTTCTTATAAAATTATACATACTTTCATCATATGACCAAAGACTATTACTCTTATGTAATTAGAAAAAAAATTATGTTCACACAAAAATCTGTAACAAGAATGTTTACAGCATCTGTATTCCTATAATGTAGTTCATTTAAGCAATTTTTTTAAAAAGTCAACTTTTGATACATCTAACAACTTGAATGTATCTTGAATGCATTATGCTGAGTTAAAGAACTCAAATCATTACACGCTGTGAGATTCCATTTATAATACATTCTCTAAAAGACAGATGTACACTGTTAGTGAACATATCAGTGGTTGATGTGGGTTAGGTGCATGGATGTGTGGGGGTTGGCAGGGAGTATAAAGGAATAAAACAAGGAATTTTTTTTAAAGGTGATGAATCTTCTCTGAATTGTAATTTTGGTGATGTTTAATTCTATACATGTTAATATTCATGAAACTCTATACCAATAACAATATTCAATTTATGATAGAATCTATTACCAATAGATACCAATAACAATAGTCAATTATGGTAAAATTTATGGTTAAAAATTAAAATTAATTTTAAAAAGAAAAGAAAAAAGTGCACAAAAACACTGGTAATAAAATTTGATAAGTTGTTTACATTTTATCTAGCTTTTTTTTGTTTGTTGGCATAAACAGGAACCTATAAAAGTGTAACTATGCCTACACTCAATTCATGCTTCTTGAAAAGATCCTGTAATTTAGAATTCTAGCTTCTTTATAATTTTAGTGTTTCACTTGTAGTCATTACACTAGTAAAATCAATCTTATTTAGTCATATGTCAGTAAATTTTTGGTATCCAAATAGAACATAGTTATAAACCTATGCTACAAATTAATAGTAAAAGAAAACAGTTTTTTAATTTTTTCTATAAATGACATTTTCCTCAAGTAGCCTACCCCACTGGGAAGCAAGAAAAAGTAACAAAAATCAAAAATGAATTTATAGTTCAATCTGGTTAAATATTTCAGTAATCCCTTAGAGAAACTTCTCATTCTCTTTACATGAAATGCTGAGTATTTTCAGGTTCTCTGCCCCTCTCCAGTAGTGCCTGGAGATATGGGGATGGTGTATAGTTTTCATGACCTTGTGGGGCAGGAGGGAAATATACTCCTTAAATCCACCTTGTGTTCTCCAGATCATCAGGGTTTCTCTAATGGAATAACTAATTTGGGCTTCTCCCTGGACTGGTAACTGAGATCTGAACTTACCATCCCTGATCATCATACTGGTATCTGATGCTGAATGGATTGTGCTCATGACCTAACCTTGGATTTTTAATTTGTTTATTTGGCTAGGATACATGCCTGTAGGCTGGTTGGTTTCACTTTGGATTTTATTGGATGTGAAATTCCTCTCAGCATTCACTGTTTTTTTTTGTTTTTTTTTTTGTTTTGTTTTTACCTGGCTCACAGGTCAGCCAGTCTATACCAAAGCTTCTGCTCCAGTACCATCTCTTGCGTTGCTGTGGTGGTCCAAACAGTAGGCATTCTAACTATCTGCTCAGCTCCTTTACATAGTTCAACTGTATGACATTAAGGAGCATTTGAGTCTCAATCATACCATGCAGGACTCAAGAGGTGCTCAGGAAAGCAGCATTCCTGCCTGCCTTCTAGCTTAATCAGTTTTTCCTAGAAACGCCATTTGACATGGCCACTCTCAAGATTCTGTTATAGGGCAAGTTTCAAGGGAATCTCCTTCAAATATTTTAAATGTGAAGTGTTGCAACACCTTGCCTTGACATTTCATGATGTTATACACCTCTCCATTCTGGGACCAAACATGGAGAAAGAATATCAAAACACATATGTTTTAACTTCTGTCTTTCTTACCTGAATCAACTTTTTTGTGCCATCAATCATAATGGTGGAAATAGGCATTGGACTCCTCCCTTCTTCAACATCCTATCTGGATACTGGATCCTTCCCTTCTTCAGCATCCTGTTTAGAAGTGGTCTAGTATGCTTCTTGTTAAATTTCAGTGCTAAATCAATTAGAATATTATTTTCTGTCTTTGGAAGACCTGTCTTTCAAGCCCATTTTTTAGCTATGAACTTGGAAATCCTACTTTGGTTGTCAGAGGATATGTATTAATCCTTTCTTTTTCATATAGTTTATCAGTTAGATGTTTGTTATAGAGAACACAGACAACTCTTCCAAACCTACAAAGAAAATGATTCATTGCCAGATATTTAATGGCTGAAAATATCGTCAATAGAACTTGCTTCAGGCCAAAATTCCAGGAACAACTCTTAATCTCCAGAATCACACTGCAAGATGCAGTTCCATGGTTCAAAATCGTGAAGTTGCTTACTTCAGAATGATGCCACATTCAGGAAACTGCTGCTATTACTAAGGAAATTCTCTAAATCAAGTGGTCATTAACTGTAGAGTCATATTGCTGGTGACATGCTTCAATAGAATGGATGCATCACACCTTGACTTTTTCCACTTTGTACAATTCCAAATTCAGAGAATGCATGAGAACATATAATGGATGGGAGCTAAATAAAATCTTGAATCCCAGTTATAAGAAAATATAAAAATATAATCTTTATCAGAATCTGTACTTCAAGAAAGTACAATAGAAAGAAGTTGACATAGATACTAAATGAGCTAATCTATGGTATCCATTAATGCAAAGCATTAAAGGTACTGCATTAGCATAGAGTGATTTTAATATATTTAAAATATCTTGTTTGGTATTTACTTATTGCTATTATTTATTTTTACTATTATTTACATGACAGTTTAAAAAATTTAAATCCTCCTCAAACACATAGGTAGCTCAAGGTAACAAGAGAGTTATGAACACTTAAAATGTGTAGGAGAAAACCTCATTAATATATGCCTGTGATGTTTGTACATTAACATAAATTTTTAAGACAGACACAAATTCAGACAGGCTCACTATTTTCCTGACCTTATTATATCTGAAATATCATAATACTCAAGGTTACTTAGTGGACATTTGCCATTTGTTTAAATCCACCCAAAATGGAACTGTAAATAGTCTAAATTCATATCTCAGAATTTACCTTTTTCTACAGCTAATTTCTCTTCTCCATTCTCATTATCTTTGACTTATTGTATTCTCTTCTACTTCTCCTTTCCTAGATTTTTTCATTAAATTATCTTATTTGATTCCCTTTACTCTTCATCTTGCCTTTTATCATTTCTTTGCTTTTTGTTTTTTCATCATTCTGAGTATATTTGTATTACCCAGACATTTGGGAAGCATTATTCTACTTTTATAACATTTCTGTTATTAGAAGTTAAATTGACTTGAAATATTTAATCATGTGTGTATATTTTAATAGCATGCTGAAAATTAATATAATGACTAGCCTATTTCCAAAGATTGAATGCTTACTTTAATTCTGTCTTTGGTAATAATAGAATCAGATCCATATCCAATAGAAATTAATTAATTATAGAGGAAGATGATGCCTTTCCTCGTTGCTTGCACTGCTTTAATGTATGTATAATACCTATTTTATCACAATTTGTAAATCCCCAACAATGCCTAGAAAGGTTTTATCATGGTAGATACTTAATTCTTATTCATTAGAATTTGGCTATAGGTTTTTTTCACTTTACTCCTAGCATTTTTGACAAAATTCCAGAGGAGATTCAGAAATTAACAGAGTAATTAAAACTGGTCAGAAAAATGAGCAAAACAGAACATGCCATTTAATAACTGAATAAAAAAAGAGTTCCAAACAACCAGCTTATAAGTAGGAGTGATGCATTTCCTTTTGATCTTTACCAACAAGTGGAATTGCTGGATTGTATGACAGCTCTATTCTGATGGACCTCCATACTGCTTTCTATAATGGTTGTACCAATTTACATTCCACCAACAGTGTGCAAGGGTTGTCTCTTCTCCACACCCTTGCCAACAATTTTTATTTCTTGTTTTTTAATCATCATTTTTGTAATACATATTATTTATAATTTTTCAGACTACTATAATTAAACACATTTTGCTCTTTATTGATAATGTGTGTTCTTATTTTGAATATTTATCATTAAACATTGTAATAACACAAATCTGTGTGAATTTTTGTGTGTCCAAGCTTCCTTCTTTAGTACCAAGTGGTCGCTTCCACTTTACTCGTCCATTTCTTGTGGATTTCAGTTTCTAATTCCGGATGGGCTTGAAAATCAGAACACTATTCAGCTTAAGCTTTGAGTGATACAGTAGTTTATAAATTCCTAAACGTGGTTCCAACAAGTGTATTATGTAGCTTTAGCTCATACTAAAGCTGTAAAGTATTTCAGATACCTAGTCCATGAATTTTCTAATAATTTAGGGGAGGTTCCCAAACTGAGGTAGTATTAAAATATTGAGGAAATCAAAAATAATATTTGAGTCATTAAAATCAAAGTAATGAGCAATCAGAGAGATGATTTAAGTCATTTTAGGGAAAAGTTTCCCTTATTACAGAGGAGCATGGTAAATCAATGCATGAGAGACTAAATAATTATTTTAGATGTGTTGTGCAATGTCCAGCAGAATTTAAATCACAGAAAGGTTTACATTTGAACAGTGAAAGATACCTGCAGTATTCATAGATACCTGCGAATAGTTAGGCAAATATGTTTTCAAATAAAATACAAAGTTTACACTTGTTTTGCCTAACACGGTTGTACAGGCCAATGATTAAATGCACCAACTTTGGAATCAAGATTTCCTGGATTCAAATTCAAGCTCCACCATTGGCAAATTATTTAACCTACATGTGCCTCAGTTCCCTCATCTATATGTGGAGGCAATAGTTACACTCTCTTATAATGTTTTTGTTAGCATTGTCAGAAGATAGCTCATGTGGAGCATTTTAGAAGAATACTTATGTTTAACAGCCAACAGGTTTGCTTATTAAACTGTAGAGAAAAATTAAAAAGAAAAATCAAGAAGTTCTTCACTAGTTTAATTTTTCTACAAATGATAAAATGTTTCTGATTATATATGCTATGAATTTGTTTAATGTCTTGTTGAGGCATCTGAAGTGTGTGTGCATGTAAATATTGGCACATTTCTGAACACAATTTACACCGAGCCAAAGAGAGTCACTAATATTTGTTAAATTGCTTTTCTAAAGTGGGAAAAGTAGCATCTTTTCCAAAGGGTGCTTTATTCACACTAACTAATTAAGTGAATGAGCTTTCTGGTTTTAATTAAGTGGAGTGTTTGTATATGTATATGCTTGTTTATATACTCAGCAGCAATAAGGGTGAGATTTTAATATAGAAAGGAAGAAATAGCCACTAAGAAAGTTCAAGCCCATTCAAGTAAAAATCCTAACCTGATAGTTTTAGGCAATGCAAAGTTAATGGACTGGTTTGAATTCCATAAAGTGGTACTTTTTTATCATCTGAAATGGCTCATGGATCTCATATGAACATACCTAATATTTCTGGAGCATTAACTCTTCAGAGGTATAATCACACTGTGTATCAATAAAGATAAAATACGTGATAAGTGAAATTTTGCTTTCTGGCTGCTTTGGGATTATGTGGCTAATGACCATCAGGCAGACACTCAGGCAATTACAATGGGGAGATTTCTTAGCTCTGAAAGCACAGGCAAGATTCCAAAATGTGCAAAACAAGCAGAGCATAGAGTAGGGGCAAAGGTGATATATTCATGGATGAGTGCAAGTTTTGGTTTTCAGGAGTTCAAGGAGCAAGTCTGTTCAGAATATTGTTATAAAGCAGATAGAGGACAAAAGCATAATTGAAATAACCGGAATGTACATAGGCTAACTGCATTGCTTTATGTGGTGTGGTTCTGTGGAAAGATTATTAGACTTACAAGAGTGAGGACTCACAGTTCTGCCAGCAAATAAGCTGAGTGGCTTCAGACAAGCCACTTTACTTATCTCTGGGCCTCAGTTTTCCCGTTTATGGATTAAAGACATTCACAGACATTGGCTGAGTGCCCGCAATGTGCCAGCTATTGAGCTAAACTTGGGATGCTAGAAAAGACAATCCCTTTTCTGGATTAGGAAGTTTACATTTTAAAGATGCAAGAAGGCACTAAACAAGGGCAGTGAGGTACAACAAGCTCTGTGGTTTTATTTCTCCTAAATGGGAGGAAACATAGAGAGGAAGAAAAGTATGCAATCTCAGTTGCAAATGGAGGCAGGGGCTCACCATGTTCTCTGATACGATTGTACCGCCCATTGGTAAGAATCAGGTAATTGTCCTGAGCCTTGTCGAGTTGTTTATTTGTTTGTTTCTTGCAATAGCTTCTAACGTAATTGATCTGCTAAGAATTATTTATAAACTCTCTCATGTAAATGCCCTTACAATTGTCAATGGCTGTAATTCTATATCAAGATCAGTGCTATGGCATCTTTGATATAGCTATGAACTTCAAGTTTTATGTTTAAACTTATAGTATAATTTTTGGAAAAATTATTCAATGGTAATGATGTAAAAAATCAATAGGAATGGAAACATGACAAATGTTTCAACAATTAAAATAAAATATTGCTTTCTGTTTAAAAGAGCATATAGTCACCTTTCAAGTTAAACTTTGGTCTTACAATCTGTTTTAATGATATAAGAGAAAATAAGCTTAATTAGGTTCATTGTAAAGTCCTCAAAAGAGCAGATCAGAATATCGGTCACTACCTTGTGGCCCAGGTAGAATTCCATAGTGCACAAATTACTGAAGCTCTTTGAATATCTGAACAGTCAGAAAACTCTATTTAGAATTATGCATATGACAGAGACTAGAATGTGTTCTAAGAATAGCTTACATCACATCAAGAAGAAAAGCACCAGATGATTACTTTTAGTCAATTCTATTTTTGTACTGTAGGTACTGATAAAAAGCTTCTAACATAACGGAAGTAGCTGTTGCATCACAACATATCATCACATTTTAGAATTGGAAGAAATTGAACATGCATCTAATATAATTCCTTTGGACTAGGTCCGAGAAATAAAAGACACACTCAAGTTCACAGAAATATACAATTCTGACTCTTATATTCAGTGCTCTTACACATGTATTTTGCTGCTTTGTTATATAAAAATAACAGTAAATACAGATTCAAAAGTTTGGGGAACTTGTGAGTTGAAAGAACAAATCATAATAAAGCAAACCTAATAAAAGAAAATCTATATTTACACACATGACTAAATGTCAGCGATTTTTATCTTTACAAAAGGATTCACTGAAAGCTTCTGTTAAGTGGTAAACTATGTTTTTTCAAGACTTTTATTTGTTTGTACTATATTGATAGCACTATACATGTATTACATAAAATATACCTACTCATAAACTGTCTTTGAGTTATTGGAGTGATTTCTGTTCTGAGAATTCTGAATTTGTTAATGGACAGATAATGCAGAGAGAAAACTTGATTAAAGCCCTGGCAACAGATGATACTATGACTATACCTCAACTAAAATGCCATGTCATAAATAGTTATTTTAATATTTATGGTACTTACTTTTGAGTAGGGATATGGGAAAACCTCTCAAAAGCTATCATCCAGGTTTTAATATAAGGAGGAACAAACCTAGGAGAGTACTGGGAAATGGGGAATAAATGTATAGAAGTATCTGGCACTGTTAGTTAGTCAGGAAATAAGACATTAATAAAGAAAATCTTTTTAAAATTTTGATTATCTACATGCCTTATAAAATATCGCTGCTATACAATATATGATAAAATCTGAGTTTTTCTTACATAGTTTTTCTTCCAAATCTTTTCAACATGTTCTTAACATCCATGATGTTTAACAGATCTTAAACATTGTTGAAAATATACCATTTTCAATAATATTGCTGTTTTTCCATTCCTATATATGCCACTAAGTGCCTGCCACTTAGTGGACACTTAACACAAATTTGTTGAATGAATACATGAATATGTGTTGATTTTCAATGTAGGAACAATTTTAAAATATCAAAAAAATTATTCAATTTCTTGGTCTTTAAATAGCTTATTAGAGGAATAAATTCTAACTGAAAATGATAATAACTAAACTTTATTATCTCCTATTTATTACAGGTATTACACAGCAAGTGGGCACCAATATATCATTTCCTCAGTAGTCATAACTGCAATGGATTTTGTTACATCAGTATAGCCAATTTACCAAAGAAGTTTGGTCAAAACATCAAAGAATGCCTTACCAATAATCGGATAGTGCCTTTTAACTGTGTCCAAGACCCTACATACTAAGTAGCTTAGGTTGTGATAATAAAACCTAGATGAACTGCAAACTGCAGTCCAAAACAACACAGGTCATCTCATCTTCTTTGGATAGCTTCCACAACTAAGGCAGCATATGTGGGTCTTATGATTTTAGAATATAGATGACATCGTCTATATGATAGAAGAACTTTAATAAACACCCAAGTAAATATATGGAAACTCACAATTGCTATAATTTTGAAATGTAAGGAATTTGACATAACAAAATAGGATGAATTTTGCCTTTGCAGATCAAATACTTTTCAATGCCAGTCTTTTGATGTTTTGATAGCCTATGCATGTATGTAAGCCATATTTAGAATGCTGCATTGAAGAAGGAATCCGGGCCAGATTACTTGCATTAACTTTGGATGCTCTTTGTTAACTATACTTCTAGAATTACAGAGAAGCCTGAGGCCACATTGAAGGGTAATTGAATGACTTGATTCTTGGTAGTAAATTGCAGAAATTAAAGAATAATTTCCCACACTATGTTTATTGACCTCATGAAAGCTATTAATGTCGTTAAAAGGCCTGGCTGCACAAAGACAGTCAAGTATCATGGTTGACTTAGCTTTTTGCTCCTGTGTCCCTCTAACTATCACAGCTGGGGTCATTACATTCATTCTTTCATTTATTAAATAAATATTTATTGAGTGCCCGCTATATGCCAAGCTTCCCACTTGGTGTAGAAGTGACAAGGAGTGAATGAGATGTGATTCCTTATGCAGCTGAACACTGGTAACTTAGAAGAATCAGATTAATACTAGCCTTATTTGACCTTGCATGCAGACTCAAGTAGCTGTGTAACCCTCTTGACTTCTCATCTCTGAGTCATTGCCTTACTTCTTGGCCTTACTTCCTTATTTTGGGGATCATTTTGTACGTGTTTGCTCTTAGGCACTCCTAAACACTGGAATTCTGCTTCAGATCCTCAGAATTCATGGCATATCATTCCTCCACTATCCTGTTCTCCACATTTTCAGCTAAGCCATCATTAAGCATCTGAATGTTGGTTATTACCAGATTCCTTTGATAGCCTGTTTCTCTTTCATTCTTAGAGGCTGAAAAGATTCTGTTACTGAAACTCAACACTTAGTTGATACCTGCTACAACTTTAACTACTCGTTGACTGTTTACGGCTTTTGCTGTAAGTTGGAGTATGGTGACAAACACACAAGTAAGTTTGCAAAGGCATAGAATATTCATGCCTTAAATAATATCTACCTTAACTTCTAGGCTATATGGTCATTGAAAAATAGAGCTAAGTTGTATTCATCTCTTGTCACTCAGTATTTAATACATGGATATTTTGTTTTATTAAATATTTACATGTATCAATGCCAAATAGTTTTATAGATTAGCTGAAGCGGATTAACTCCTTCTTCATTTAAGAATGACTCAGTTAGGTTAGCAAAGAGAAGTGAGTGATTTTAATCTATAAATTTCCCTCCAACTTGGCATTATTTGCTTCCTCCTTGTAGGGTTAATTCAAAACGGTCCAGAGCTTTAGTAATTTGCTGGTTAGGTGCATTTTCCCCAAAACTCTCATAGTACTGTTCTTGTTGACTTCTTTAATACTAGCTCTAATTGCTACAGTATGTGTGTTGTGTGTGTGTGGGTTTTTTTTCTAGATGTAATTTACCTACTAAAATATTCACCTGTTTGAAGTAAAGAATTCAGTATTTTTTTGTATATTTGCAAGGTGGTATGGTTGTCACAACTATCAAGTTTCAGGATATTCTCAGCCCAGTAAAAAACTCATACCTTTTAGCAATCACTCCTCTCCCTTCCAAACCTTTGAAGAGATAATCTACTTTCTGTATCTGTGCACTTGCCTTTTCTAAACATTTCATATAAAAATATCATGCAATATGTAGCTTTTTGTATCTGACATTTTCACTTAGTGTAATATTTTAAAGGGTTATCTACATTGTAGCGTAAATCACTACTTTCTTTCTTCTTTGTTTTTTTTTTTTCTGAGACAGAATCTCACTCTTTGCCCAGGCAGGAGTGCAGTGGCAGGCTCTCAGCTCACCGCAACCTCCGCCTCCTGGGTTCAAGTAATTCTCTGCCTCAGCCTCCTGAGTAGCTGGGATTACAGGCATCTGCCACCACACCCAGCTAATTTTTTTTTTTTTGTAGAGACAGGGTTTCACCATATTGGTCAGGCTGGTCTCAAACTCCTGACCTTGTGATCTTCCCTCCTCGGCCTCCCAAAGTGCTGGGATTACAGGCATGAGCCTCCACACCCGGCCCTGCTTTCTTTCCTTCTCTTTTGGCTGAATAATGTTTTATTGCATGTATATGCTACCTTTTATTTATTCCTTCATCAGATAATGAACATTTAGATTGTTTGCACTTTTTGGCTCTTTTGAATAGTGCTGTGATAAACATTTAGATTGTTTACACTTTTTGGCTTTTATGAATAGTGCTGCTATTAACTTTCAAACAAGTTTGTGTGTGGACATGTGGTCTCAGTTATCTTGGATATATACATAGCAGTATAATCTGTGGATCATATGGAACTTTATGCTTAACTTTTTAAGGAACTGCCAAACTGTTTTTCAAAGTAGCTGCATTATTTTATATTCTGACCAGCAAAAGTATGAGGGCTCATATTTTTCCAAATCTTTGCCAGCACTTCTTATTGTCTGCTCTTTTGCTTAGAAACCTCCTAGTGTATGTGAAGTGGTTATCTCACTGTGGCTTTTCCTAATGCATTTCACTTTCCTGTTGGCCAATGATGTGGAATATATTGTCCATTTGTACATCTTCTTTAGAAAAATCTCTATTCTAATCTTTTGCCCATTTTTTTTTTTACAGAATTATTTGATCTTCCTGTTGAGCTCTAGCTAAGGGTTCTTCATATATTCTGGATATTAGACCTTCATCAGATATGTGATTTACAAATATTTTTTCCCATTTGTTTGTTACCTTTTCACTATCTTGATACTCTACTTTGAGGTGAAAATGCTTTTAAATTCGATGAAGTCCAATTTATCTATTTTTTCTTTGATTTCTTGTGCTTTTGGTATTATGTTTAAATATTGCATTTCTAGAATAAATGTCATGAATAATTATACTGATGATTTCTTCTAAGAGTTTTATAGTTTTAATGCTTATTTTTAGTTATTTGATTTATTTGGGGTCTATTTTTACATATAATGTGAGGAAGGATTACAACTTCCTTCTTTTTCATGTAGATATGCAGATGTTTGCAGCACCATATGTCAAAAAAATCTCTTCTTTCCTCATAAAATTTTCTTGACACTCTTGTTAAAATTCAATTGACCATAAATGTATGGGTTTATTACAGTACTTATATTTCTATTTCATTGATTTATACATCTATCCTATGCAAGTACCACAAAGTCTTGATTACAGCAGTTTTATAGTAAGCTTTGGAATTGGCGAGTATATGTTTTCAAACTTATTACTTTCCAAGATTGTTTAGATAATTCTCAGTTCTTTTGTATTTAAATTTTTGCATCAGTATGTTAATTTATGCAAAAAATGCATTTGGGACTTGACAAGATTTTGTTAAATATGTGGATGAAGTTTTAGAGTATTACATCTTAACAAGTCTTTAATCCATGAACATGGAATTCCTTTCTATTTATTTAGGATTTCTTTATTTTATTTTAATGATATTTGGTACTTGCAGTGTACAAGTCTTATACTTCTTTTGTTTATTTATACCTAAGAATTTTATTTTTGATAATATTATAAATGTTATGGTTTCCTTAATTTAAATTTTTGTATTGTTCATGGGTATGTATAGAAAAAATACTTTGTACAATGATCTTATATCCTGAAACTTTGCTCAGTTCATTTATTTAATATTAGATTTAACTGTTAGGGTGCATCGCATGTGAATGTCTTATGGTAAGCAATTAGTTTCATATGCAATTCAGTTACACTCAAAAACAGATTCTGGGCTTGATTTTCAACACATTCTTTTCTGTGGCTGTGAGATGACAGCTTTAGGAAAACACTGCTAGAGGAGCCCTTTGCTTTTCAGATTATGTATTAAGATAAGAATTTTTAGCTTTCTGTTTCTTCTTCTTTTTCCCCAAAGCATCTAGCATTATTTAAAAAAAAAAAGTCATGCCATTTCTGGTACTAATTGTTTTAGCTTGCATTTCCTAGAAAATAAGCATGAAGCAAAATTTAAGCGTTAATGCTTTTGTGGGAAGTATAATCCCAAGGCAATGAAAGTTGGTGGAAAGCATCCAGAAGCTGAATGAAAATAAAAGGTTATGGGTTTTTTATTTGAGCACTACTTCACAAGCTAATAAAGAGACAAAGCAGGTTGATAGGCCTTGCAGCAAATCTTGGATAGGTGATACATATACAAGGACAAATCACAAGTGTGATAAATTTCAAAATTACTTATATTCCATATCTTCCCTGCTTCTTATTCCCCATTTACCAGCATTTGTTTGATGGATATTCTCTACTGATAGAACTCTTTTTCTGCCCAATCAAAACATTTTAGCAGCATAGTTTGGGAAATGGAGAGCAGGATAGCTATGTGAACAAATACAATATCTCATATATCTATTGACCATTTTAATAAGAAATATCACATAATTATTTTTATTAACTTGTGCACTAGAGTGTATGGCTTTTAATAAATATTTCAGAGAACTATGACCTTAATGTAGTTTTGTATGTTCTAAAGTCTGAAGCAGCCTTGTAAATTACATAGTATGCTGGATTATGAGCATATAATAGTGCCCTATTTTTTAAAGTCTTCTAAATTAATTCTATTCATAGTAATGTTATATTGTATAATTAATCTGGTACAACTAGTTCTACATTTCATTCCTTTATTAATAAAATATAAATTCACCCATGTTTTGATCCAGAGGACAATATTTTAATTAAATTTCTAAGCAAACTCTAAGTCTCTAAAAAATACTTTAGAAAACTTCATAAGACACTTAAAGGTTTAGAGCTACTTAGCAGATGCTGAGGCCAAGAAATAAAATACAAAACAAATTTAGCCACAAAATAAACTGACCTGCAAACTGACCTCCTAAGAGTTAAACTACAGAATATATTCAACTTTAAGTGTGATTAATATAGTGGCTTGTCATTGAAACAAACTGGTTCCTCAGTTACATGAACCTCTCAACCAAACCTCATATATTTTGATGAACAATAAACAGAATAACTGCACAAAATATTCTCTCAGTTGAGCTACTGACTTCACATCATTGCGGTAGGAAATTGAGGCAAGTTAGCTAGTTATCACTGCTGCCTCATTAGAATTTTAACAGAGAATAATGCTGATCTCTAGTAACTACTCCCTTGTTGTGGGAACGGAATAAGAGATTACCCTGTCTTCTTCTTTTATGAGGTCTAGAAATGACCTGGACATACAGGGCTATAAGATGAAAAAACAAACAAACAAACAAACAAACACAGGAGCAAAGAGAACAAGGGTTAGAAAGCAGAAGTGTGTGTGTGTGTGCGTGTGCGTGCGTGTGTGTGTGTGCATGCATGCGTCTGTGTGTGTGTGTGTGTGTGTGTGTGTTCAGTGAGGTTAGGACTGTTAAAATTTGAGCAGTTCAGACTTTCCACAAGATTCTCCTTGAATCCCTTGGTCATGTCAGAATTTCCTTCAGGTGTTGAAACTTTCCACCCAAACTCAGTATTTGTACATTTTACTTGTTAACGTCTTGGATGTCAGCCAAATGATAACTAGCTATATTTCATTTGATTTTGTGAAGATAGCTTGAGATTGCCTAGCTTCTGCAGCTTTCGAGCTCTCTTGGCAAATTCGGAATGTATGTTGTATGTTTTTAAGGCAATTGTCATCATTATGATACACTCATCTGAAAACCTTAGTTTCAAAACAAAGTGTTCTTTTAAAATCATATTTCAAAGATTCCTTCTTCAAACAGCCAATCTTTCAGTATTAAAATAATAAGATAGATATAAACCATAGCTTTAATTTGGGAGGAAGTGTTTGAAAAAAAACTGGTTACAAACAGGCCTTTCTTTTCAATGATTACACTCTGAATATTGTTTTCTGATTTACATTGGCAGCTAATAGTTAGAGGGACTTTTGCTGCTTCTGATTCTGACCATTTCAAATTCTGGTCGTTTTAAATAGAAATATAATAGGAATTTAAAAATAAGCATAAGCATAATTTAGCTGTGCCTACTGCTTACTAGGGCTGAGTACTTGTGCAAGTTGTTCATGCCCAATGAAGTCTGTCTATTTTGACTTAATAAATGTTTCCTGCATGAATAAATGAATGAATGTCTATTATTATGTGCCAAAAATATCAGTGGTTAAAAATATGAAGATTAATAGAGCACAACTTGTGACTTTCACAAGGTTTCAGAGTGAAAAGAGGAGAGACATGAAATAAAACAATCACAACCTTTATAGCAGTATGAATAAGACACCCTGGGAGCTACAGGGAGAAAAGAATTTACCTATGACTGGGAGGTCAAGAACTTTCTGAAAGAAATTATGTTTGACCTGAGGTTTAAGAATGTCTCAGAGGCATTCTTCAAAATGACTAAACAAGATTTTGAAAATGCCATGCCAGAGAAGGAAAAATGTATAAAAACAGAAAATAAAGCCATAAAGACCAGGATGCATTGCATAATTTAAAAACCTGGTGATTAATTGCAGGAGCAGAGTTGTTCAAAATATTTGTAATGCTCAGACCTCAAATAATCTTTTGGTTCACGAGAATAGTTTTGGATCTTATCATGCAAGTCAGCAGTTTTCAACATGTGTTTCTCTGTAGCACATAGGACAGATGACAGCTACGTACATGACACACTACACAAGCAGAGCCAAAGAACAGTGTAATTCCTTGCACTCCATCTTTGCTGTCTTTTTCTTATATAAATTAAGAAATAATATAAAAATAAGCAATGAAAATGGGATTATTACAACTTTTATTTTCCCCAAATTGATTTAGTAAGTTATTCACAAAATTGTTGATACAATTATCTCACATCATTGTACTATTAACACAATAGTGGACCAAGCTGCTGTTAGTGTAGAAGGGAAGAGTCCACTAAATATTTTAGACAAAATTGTGCATGGTCACATTTTTTTAAGAAAAGGGGATACTGGTGGCAGAGATGGAGAATAGAGGGATTACAGTGAGGACCTTCATACAGTAATTCTCAACATAGATGGGACACAGTTTTCTGGGGTGACATGGCAGACTCCAGGAATTGGCTAGCTCAATCACCTTTTCTTTTTCTTTTTCTCCACTGTGGTGGGTGAAAAAATGATACTTAACTTGTCTCTCTTGCAAGGAGGATTGTGTATGTGGCTACTCAGGCTAATAAGATGTAAGCATTAGTCTGCCCAGAAGTTCTGGGAGAACTTTCCTGATTAAAGGGGCATACTGTTGGTACTTCTCCTTAATCCTTCTTTCTGTCTTGAATAAAGAGGTGATTCCTAGAATTGCACAGCCACTTTGTGTCCAGAATATCCAAGAAAATTATAGTCAGCTGACATATTTTAGTTGTCTACGGCAGCCCTACTCCAGAATTCTTGTTAAAAAACTAATTAAAAATAAACTGCCATTTATTTAAGCCATTGCATGTTGAATTTTTTTGTTCCTTGAAGATAATAGGGGATGTTTCTGGAGATCAAAGTGCTACTTTATTGAGAATTATTGTTTTAGTGATCCACTAGCATTTATGGCAGCATGTATATCTTTCAGTTGTAAAGAAATAGAGGAAAAAGGCTCAGAAATGATTTCTGTTATTTTGTTGCAAGATTATTGGAATAATTCAGGTAAAATTAAAGAAGGACCACTCTGGCAATAACAACAAGGGTGTAGAGAAGGGAATTGGAGAGAAGCAATTAATATTAGTAGAAATAAAAGCAATACGATATTTGGTATATAGAATTTAATATAGAAAATATAGAATTTAAGATATCTATAGACAATCAATAAATGATATTGAGAAATCTTTGGAGAATATGAGCCTGAAGCTCATGAGAGGTATTAAGCAGTTAAATGCTCATATAAAATTCATAACTTAGATCAGAAGAGTTAAGCTTATAGTCCATGGTCCAAAAAAACTTCTGAATGATGACACAGTTTAGTTTAGCAAATGGTTTTTTAATTGGCTAGGTTGACACTTATGGATGATCACCTGTCAAAAAATGTTTTGGAACTGCTCTCAATATGGAATGCATCAAACCCTTATAATAAAATAGAATTAATATCAATAATCCATTTGGGTAATAGAGATAGTTTTGTTCCCACCTGCACTGTATTGATTTGCTCTATGAAATGTGTAGCCTAGGTCCATACTTGAATTCATACAGATATTCAGCTATGCAGACGCTTTTTAATTTGACATAGTCAGACTTTTCTATTTTTGCTTTTATTTTCTACATTTTTAAGCATTATATCTAAGAAATCATTGGTAAGACCACTATTAAGGATCTTCTCCCCTGTGTTCTAGAAATTTTTCAATTTTTGGTGTTACATTTAAGTCTTTAATCCATCTTGAGTTTATTTTTGTGTATGGTATAAGATAAAGGTCCAATTTCATTCTTTTGCATGTGGAGATCCAGTTTTCCTAACACCATTTATTGAAGAGACTATCCTTTCCCAATTGTGTATTCTTGGCACCCTTGCCAAAGATCAGTTGACTGTGTACAAATGAATTTATTTCTGGACTCTCTATGCTATTCTATTGATATGTCTGTCTCTATGGCAGCATCATATAGTTTGACTACAGTAGATTTTTAATGTGTTTTGAAACCAGGAATTATAAAGCCTTTAACTTTGCTCTTTTTCTAGATTGTTTCTGCTATTCAGAGTCTGCTGGGATTCCATATGAGTTTTGTGATTGTTTTCTCTGTTTTTGTAAAAAACACCATTGAGACTTTGATAGGAAGTCTATTTAATTTGTAGATCACATTGGGTAGTATAGACATCTCAATAATGTCTTTAAATTAATAAACATACGATGATGTCCCTCCACTGCATGTATTGTCTTTCCAATATATATTGTCTTTAATTTTGTTCAACAATGTTTTGTAGTTTTCAGCATGCAGATCTTTTGCCTCTTGATTATTTCTAAACATTTTATTCTTTTGGATGCTATTGTAAATAAGATTTTCTTCTTGATTTCCTTCTTAAACTCATTTTTAGTGTATGAAAACACAATTTGTTTTTATATATTTATTTTGTATTCTGCAACGCTATTGAATTTGTTTGTTATTTCTAAGAGGCTTTTTGTTGTCGTTAAGTTTTTAGGAACTTTATACATAAAAGATCATGTCATCTGCAAACCAATAATTTTATTTCTTCTCTTACAATTTCTTTAACCATTGAGCATGATGGTAACTGAGGGATTTTCATATGTGGCCTTTATTATGTTGAGGTACTTTCCTTCTACTCTTAGTTCATTGAGCATTTTTATATTGAAAAGGTGCTGAAATTTGTCAAACTTTATTTTTGTGTCTAAGGAGATGATCATGTGATTTTTACCCTTTAGTCTGTTAATATGGTGTATCACATTAATTGATTTTGGTATCTTGAACTACCCTTGACCCCCAAGAATAAATCCGACCTGTCCATGGTGTATTATCCTTTTACGTACTGTTAGATTCAGTTTGCTATATTTTGTGAAAATTTTTAAAGTTGTATTCATTAGGAATATTGGCCTACAGTTTTCTTTTCTTGCAGTGTCTTTGTATGGCTTTGGTATCAGATGAAGCTGGCCTCATTAAATGAGTACAAAAGTGTCCTTTCCTCTTCAAATTTTGGACAAGTTTAGAAAAGTTTGGCGTTAGTTATTCTTTAAATGTTTGGTGGAAATCACCAATGAAGCCATCTGGTTCTGGAGGTTTCTTGGGAGGTTTTTGATTACTGATTCACTCTCTAGCAGTTTCATAATTCTTTTATTTTTTCCTCTGGTCATCATTTGAAATGTTTCCTCTTTCATTACTGATAATTTATTTATTTGAATAGTTTCTCTTTTTTTTAAGTTTAACCAAAGATTTATAAACTCTTAGTTTATTTTTTTCTATTGTTTTTCTAGTCTCTATTTTATTTCTGCTCTAACATTTATCATTTTCTTTCCTCTGCTATCTTTGGAATTAGTTTGTTCTTCTTTCTCTAATTCTTTGAGGTATAGAATTTGGTTGCTTCTTTAAGATCTTCCTATTATCTAAATGTAGGCATTTAATCATTGTGAACTTCTCCCTTGGTACTACTTTTACTGAATTGAATATGCTTGATATAATGTGTTTTCATTTCCATTTGTCTCAAGATGTTTTCTTACTTCCTCTTTTATTTTTTCTTTGACCCATTTGTTATTAAGAGTATGTTCAATTTCCACATATTTGTGAATTGTACATTTTCCATCTGCTATTGATTCCTAGTTGCATTCCATTATGTTTGGAAAAGATACCTGTTATAGTTTCAATCCCCTGGGTGGGTGTGGTGGCTCACACCTGTAACTGAAGCACTTTGGGAAGCTGAGGCGGGTGGATCGTTTGAGCCCAGGACTTTGAGACCATCCAGGGCAACGTGGAGATATCCTGTCTCTACATGAAATACACACATAAAAAATTCCCAGGCCATGGTGGTGCGCACCTGTAGTCCCAGCTACTCCAGAGGCTGAAGCAGGTGGATCAGTTGAGTATGGTAGGTCGAGGTTGCAGTGAGCCATGATAGTGCCCCTGTACTCCAGTCTGTATAATAGTATGAGATCCTGTTTCAAAACAGAAAAAGGATAAAATCTTTTTCAATTTGTTAAGACTTGTTGTGACCTAACATGTAATCTATTCTGCAGAATATTCTTTATGTACTTGAGAAGAACGTGTCATCCGTTGCTATTGGGTAGAATATTCTGTGTATGTCTGTTATGTCCGTTTTGTCTATAGCATTGTTCAAGTCTCCTGTTTCTTTCTTGATCTTCCATATTAATATTGTACATATTATTGAAAGTGGGGTATTGAAATCTCCTACTATTATGGTGTGGATTTCTATTTTTTCCTCCAGTTAGGTCAATGTTTGTTTTACATATTCAAGTGCTCTGATGCTGCATGCACATATATTTATAATTGTCATATTATCCTGGAGAATTGACTATGCTCTTATTATGTAGTGTCTTTTTTTGTCTCTTGTGCACATTTTTTACTTAAAGTCTCTTTTGTCTTATATAAATATGGCCACCTCTGCTTTCTTTTGGTAATCATTTGCATAGAATATCTCTCTTCCATTATTTCACTTTCAGCCTATGTGTGACTTTACAGCTAAAGTGAGTCTCTTTTAGACAGAATAGAGTTGGCTATCTTTAATAAAATAACCCACTCAGCCACTCTATGTTTCTTGGGTGCAAAGTTTAATCCATCTCTATTTTCCTCTATTGCTATCTTTTTTTGTATTTCATTGTGTCTTTTTTTGTATTTCATTGGGGTTTTTTTTTGGAGTGACATGCTTTGATATCTTTCTTATTTTTTGTGATTTTCTATAGACATTTATGAAATGGTTACGTGGAGTCACATAAAACAACTTATACTTATTATAATATATTTAATCTGATCAAAACTTAACTTCAACTGCATAGGAAACCTCTATACTTTCACCTCTTTTGTATCCACACTATGTATTACTGATGTCACAGTTACATCTTTTTATGTTGTGTATTCATTAATAATTTATATAGTTATAATGTTTAATACTTTTTTCTGTTAACTTTTATACCAGAATTTAAAGTGAATTATGCACCACTGTTTTAGTATTACATATCTCCTTATTTGTATGTATACGTGTGTGTGTATATATATATAATATGTATTATATATATAACAATATATGTTATATATAATATATAATATATATAATATATAATATATATAACATATATAACATATATAATATATATAATATATATAACATATATAACATATATAATATATATAATATATATAACATATATAACATATATAATATATATAATATATATAACATATATAACATATATTATATATTATATATATTATATATAATATATATAACATATATAACATATATATTATATATAACGTATATAACATATATAACATATATATTATATATAACGTATATATAATATATATAACATATATTATATATATAACGTATATATTATATATATAACGTATATATTATATATATAACGTATATATTATATATATAACGTATATATTATATATAACGTATATATTATATATAACGTATATATTATATATATAACGTATATATTATATATAACGTATATATTATATATAACGTATATATTATATATAACGTATATATTATATATGTAACGTATATACTATATATGTAATGTATATAATATGTATAACATATATATTATGTATAACATATGTATTATGTATAACATATATATTATGTATAACATATATATTATGTATAACATATATATTATGTATAACATATATAATATATATAACATATTATATGTATAACATATATAATATATATAACATATTATATGTATAACATATATAATATATATAACATATTATATGTATAACATATATAATATATATAACATATTATATGTATAACATATATAATATATATAACATATTATATGTATAACATATATAATATATATAACATATATTATATGTATAACATATATATAACATATATAATATGTATAACATCTATATTATATATAACATATATAATATGTATAACATATATAATATATAACATATATATTACGTATAACATATATAATATATAACATATATATTACGTATAACATATATATTACATATAACATATATATTAGGTATAACATATATATTACGTATAACATATATATTATATATAAAATATATATAGCATGTATAACATATATATTATATATAATATATATTATATATAACATATATGTTATATAAAATATATATTATATATAACATATATGTCATATATAAAATATATATAATATATAACATATATGTCATATATAAAATGTATATTTTATATATAACATATATGTCATATATAAAAATATATATTTTATATATAACATATGTCATATAATATATATATCATATATAACCTATATATGATATATAATATATATATCATATATAACCTATATATGATATATAATATATATATCATGTATAACATATATATGATATATAATATATATATCATGTATAACATATATATGATATATAATATATATATCATGTATAACATATATATGATATATAATATATATATCATGTATAACATATATATGATATATAATATATATATCATGTATAACATATATATGATATATAATATATATATCATGTATAACATATATATGATATATAATATATATATCATGTATAACATATATATGATATATAATATATATATCATGTATAACATATATTATATAATATATATATCATGTATAACATATATTATATAATATATATATTATGTATAACATATATATTATATAATATATGTTAAATATAACATATATATTATATATAATATATATATTAAATATAACATATATTATATAATATATATGTTATATATAACACATATATTATTTATAAAATACATATATTATATATAACATATATTATATAAAGTATATATTATATATAATATATAATAGATAAAATATATATTATATATAAAATATATTATATGCAAAATATATATTACATATAATATATATAAAATATATATATTATATATAAAATATATAGATAAAATATATATACTATGTATAAAATATATAATATATAAAATAAATATATTATATACATAAAATATATATTATATATATAATAAATATATATAATATATTTTATATATTATATAATATATATAATATATATAATATATTTTATATAAATATATATTATATATAAAAATACATATATAATATAAACTATACATTATATATATTTTACATATATTATATAATATATATTATATATATGAAATATATATATTATATATATAAAATATTTATATTATATATATTATATATTTTATATAATATATATGTATTTTATATATATTATATATTTTATATAATATATATGTATTTTATATATATTATATATATGAAATATATATATTATATATATAAAATATTTATATTATATATATTATATATTTTATATAATATATATGTATTTTATATATATTATATATATTATATATATATTATATAAAATATATAATATATAAAAATATATATTATATATAAAATATACATAATATATAAACATATATATTATATATAAAATATATATAATATATAAACATATATATTATATATAAAATATATATATAATATAAACATATATAATATATATAAAATATATATAATATATAAATATATATATTATATATAAAATATATATAATATATAAAAATATATATTATATATAAACATATATTATATATAATATATAAGATATATATAAACATATATATAATATATAAAATCTATATAAATATGTTATATATAATATCTATAATATATATAAATATATTATATATAATATATATAACATATAAACATATATTATATAATATATATAACATATAAACATATATTATATAATATATAACATATAAACATATATTATACAATATATATAACTTATAAACATATATTATATAATATATATAACATATAAACATATGTTTTATATTATATATAACGTATAAACATATATTATATATTATATATAAAGTATAAACATATATTATATATTATATATAATATATAAACATATATTACATATAAATATATATAAAATATATATTTGTATATATTAATAATTAATAATAATAATATATAATATAATATGTATATAATATATTATATATTATGTATTACATACATATATAATATATATAATATATTATGTACATAATATATTATACATAATTTTATGTATATGTATTATACATATACATATACATATACATATGTATTATACATAATATGTATAATATATATTATGTAATATATATGATGTATAATATATATTATGTAATATATATGATATATTATATATAATATATTATGTATTTAATATATATTATGTATAATATATATTATATATAATATATATTATGTATAATATATATTATATATAATATATATTATACATAATATATATTATATATAATATATATTATGCATAATATATATTATATATAATATATATTAGTGTAATATATATGTGTATTATATATTATGTATAATATATATTATGTATACAATATATATTAGGTATAATATATATTATTTATTATATAACATATATTATACATAGTGTATATTATATATAAAATATATAATATACATAATATATATCATATATTATATACATAATATATATTATATACATAATATATTATATTGTATATTATGTATATAATATATAATATATATTATGTATATAATATATAATATACATAATATATACAATATATAATATACATAATATATACAAAGATATATATATATCTTTGTCCGTGGGCTTTATATTATTGTGTGCTTTTGTTTTTATGTTTTTGTTTTGTTTTTATGTTTATGTTTTTGTTTTATGTTTACTGTCTTTTTGTTTCAACTTGAAAGACTCCCTTTGACATTTCTTATAATGTAGATCTAGTGGTAGACTCCCTTAGCTTATGTTTATAAGAAATAGTTTTTCTCACTACTATTTTCCAAGGTAAGTTTTGATGAGTGTAGTATTCTTAGTTGGCAGGCTTATTTTTTACTTTTAACACCTCAAAAAGATAATCACAATCCTTATAAGATGTCTGCTGAGAAATTTATTTGTATTCTTACAAAAGCTCTCTTGTATGTGATTAGTTGCTTTTATCTTACTGCTCCTGAAATTCTGTTTGTCTTTGAGTTTTGACAAGTTGATTATTATCTATCTTGGTGAGATCTTCTTTAGACTTATTTTACTTGGGAAATTTGGAGTTCTTGAATCTAGATGTACATTTCCTGCAACACAGTAAGGAAGGTTTTGCCATTATTTCTTTTTGTTATTGTCATTTTAACTTTTACTTTAGGTTTTGGTGTACATGTGAAGGTTTGTTACACAGGTAAAGTCATGTCATGGGGATTTGTTGTACAGATTTTCTTTTTTATCACCAAGTTATTAAGCCGAGCATCAGTAGTTATCTTTTCTGCTCTTCTCGCTCCTCCCACCCTCCACCCTCAAGTAGATCCCAGTGTCTGTTGTTTTCTTCTTTGTGTTCATAAGTTTTCATTGTTTAGCTTCCACTTATAAGGGAGTACATGCAGTATTTGGTTTTCCGTTCCTGTGTTATTTTGCTAAGGATAAGAGCCTTTAGCTCCATCCATGTTCTTGCAAAATACATGATCTCCTTCTTTATTATGGCTGCATAGTATTTCATAGTGTATATGTACCACATTTTCTTAATCGAATCTACCATTGATGGACATTTAGGATGATTCTATGTCTTTGATATTGTGTTAGTACAGTAATGAACATTCTTGTGCATGTGTCTTTGTGGTAGAATGATTTATATTTCTCTGGGTACATACCCAGTAATGGGATTGCTGGGTTGAATGGTAGTTCTGCTTTTAGCTCTTTAAGGAATCACTATACTGCTTTCCACAATGGTTGAAGTAATTTACACTCCAACCAACAGTGTGTTAGTCTTCCCTTTTCTCTGTAATTTTTGTAGCATCTGTTACTTTTTGACTTTTTAATAATAGCTATTCTGACTGGTGTGAGCTGGTATCTCAATATGGTTTTGATTTGCATTTCCCTAATGATTAGTGATATTGAGCTTCTTTCATATGCTTGTTGCCTGCATGTATGTCTTCTTTTGAGAAGTGTCTGTTCATGTCCTTTGCCCATGTTTTAATGGGATTGTTTTTCTCCTGTAAATTTGTTTAAGTTCTTTACAGATGCTGGATATTAAACCTTTCTCAGATGCACAGTTTGCAAATATTTTCTCCCATTCTGTAGGTTGTTTATTTACTCCATTGATAGTTTCTTTTGCTATGCAGAATCTCGTAAGTTTAATGAGATCCCACTTGTCAATTTTTGCTTTTGTTGCGATTGGTGTGTTTGTCATGAAATCTTTGTCCCTTCTTGTGTCCAAGATAGTATTCCCTAGGTTTTCTTCCAGAGTTTTTATAGTTTTCGGTTTTACATTTAAGTTTTAATCCATATTGAGTTGATTTTTGCATATGGAGTAAAGAAGGGGTCCAGCTTCAGTCTTCTACATATAGCTAGCCAGTTATCCCAGCACCATTTATTGAACAGAACGTCTTTTCCCCATTGATTATTTTTGTCAGCTTGTCAAAAAAAATCAGGGATTGTAGGTATGTGGTCTTATTTCTGGGCTCTCTATTCTCTTCCATTTGTCTGTGTGTCTGGTTTTATACCAGTTCTATGCCGTTTTGCTTACTGTGCCCCTGTAGTACAGTTTTAAGTCAGGTAACATGACGTCTCCAGCTTTGCTCTTTTTGCTTAGAATTGCTTTTGCTATTCAGGCACTTTTTTGGTTCCATATGAATTTTAAAATAGCTTTTTTCTTGTTCTGTGAAAAATGTCATTGGTAGTATAATATAGTAGTGTAGTTTTAAGTCAGGTAGCATGACGCCTCCAGCTTTGTTCTTTTTGCTTACAGTTGCTTTGGCTATTTGGGCACTTTTATGGTTCCATATGAATTTTAAATTAGCTTTTTACTTGTTCTGTGAAAAATGTCATTGGTAGTTTCATAGGAATAGTATTGAATATGTAAATTATTTTGAGCAGTATGGCCATTTTAATGATATTGATTCTTCCTATCCATGAGCACGGAATGTTTTTCCACTTGTGTCATCTCTGACTTCTTTGAGCAGTGTTTTATAATTCTCATTGTAGAGATCTTTCACCTCCCTGGTTAGCTGTATTTCTAGGTATTTTGTTCATTTTGTGGCAATTATAAATGGGATTGCCTTTCTGATTTGGCTTTTGCCTGGGCTGTTATTGTTGTATAAAAATGCTCGTGAGTTTTGTACGTTGATTTTGTATCCTGAAACTTAGCTGAAGTTGTTTATCAGATCAAGGAGCTTTTGGGCAGAGACTATGGGATTTTCGAGATAAAGAATCATATTGTCTGCAAATAGAGATAGTTGACTTCCTCTCTTCCTATTTGGATGCCCTTTATTTCTTTCTATTGCCTGATTGCTCTGGCTAGGACTTCCACTACTGTGTTGAATAGGAGTGGTGAGAGAGGACATCCTTACCTTGTTCAGGTCTTCAAGGGGAATGCTTTCAGCTTTTGCCCAATCAGTATGATGTTGGTTGCGGGTTTGAAACAGATGACTTTTATTACTTGAGTTATGTTTCTTCAATACCTAGTTTATTGAGAGGTTTTAACTTGAAGGGGTGTTGAAATGCATCAAAAGTCTTTTCTGGATTGATTGAGATATGGTGGTGTTTGCGTTTAGTTTTGTTTATGTGATTAATAACACTTGTTGAATTGCATGTTGAACCAATCTTGCAGCCCAAGGATGAAGCCTGCTTGATCATGGTGGATTAAGTTTTTGGTTTGCTGCTGGATTCAGTTTGCTAGTATTTTGTTGAGGATTTTTGTATCAAAGTACACTAAGGATATTGACCTGAAGTGTTCTTTTTTGTTGTGTCTCATAGGTTTTGGTATCAGGATGATGCTGGCCTCATAGAATGAGTTGGGAAAAAGTTACTACTCCTTATTTTTGTGGAATAGTTTTTGTAGGAAAAGTACCAGCTGCTCGTTGTACATAATTGGTAGAATTCAGCTGTGAATCCATCAGGTCCTGGGATTTTTTTTTCCCTGTTGGTAGGCTATTTATTACTGATTCAATTTCAGAGCTCCTTATTGGTCTGTTCAGGAAATCAATTTTTTCCTGGTTCTGTCTTGGGAGGGTGTACATGTCTAGGAATTTATCCATCTCTTCTAGATTGATATGGTTTGGCTGTGTCCCCACCCAAATCTCATCTTGAATTCCCACATGTTGTAGGAGGGACCCAGTGGTAGGTAACTGAATCATGGGGGCAGGTCTTTCCTGTGCTGTTCTCATGATAGTGAATAAGTCTCACAAGATCTGATGGCCTTATAAGATGGAGTTTCTCTGCACAAGCTCTCTCTTTGCCTGCTGCCATCCACGTAAGATGTAACTTGCTCCTCCTTGCCTTCCACCATGATTGTGAGGCCTCCGCAGCCATGTAGAACAGTAAGTCCATTAAACCCGTTGCTTTTGTAAATTGTCCAGGCTTGGGTGTGTCTTTATCAGCAGCATGAAAATAACTACAGTAAATTGGTACCAAGAGAGTGGGGCACCGCTGAAAACATACCCAAAAATGTGGAAGTGACTTTGGAACTGAATAACAGGAACAGGTTGGAACAGTTTAGAGGGCCTATAAGAAGATAGGAAAATGGGGGAAAGTTTGGAACTCCCTAGAGACTTCCTGAATGGCTTTGACCAAAATGCTGATAATGATGTGGACAATGAAATCCAGGCTGAGGTAGTCTCAGATGAAGATGAGGAACTTGTTGGGAACTGGAGCAAAAGTGATTCATGTTATGTTTTAGCAAAGGGAATGCAGCATTTTGCCCTTGCCCTAGAGATCTGTGGAACTTCAAACTTGAGAGAGATGATTTAGGGTATCTGGCAGGAGAAATTTCTGAGCAGCAGTGCATTCAAGAGGTGACTTGGGTGCTGTTAAAGCTATTTAGTTTTATAACGGAAAGAGAGCATAAAAGTTTGGAAAATGTGCAGCCTGACAATGTAATAGGAAAGAAAATCCCATTTTCTGAGAAGAAAGTCAAGCCAAATGCAGAAATTTGCATAAGAAACAAGGAAACAAATGTTAATCACCAAGATAATGGGGAAAATGTCTCCAGGAATTTTCAGAGATTTTCACAGCAGCCCCTCCATCACAGGCACAGAAGCATAGGAGGAAAAGGTGGTTTTTTGGGCTAGGCCCAGGGTCCCCATGCTGTCTGCAGCCTCTTGACTTGGTGCCCTGCATCCCAGCTGCTCCAGCCATGGCTGAAAGGGGCCAACATAGAATTTGGGCTGTGGCTAAGGAGGGTGAAAGCCTGAAGCCTTGGCAGCTTCCACATGACGCTGAGCCTGCCAGTGCACAGAAGTCAAGAATTGGGGTTTGGGAAATTCTGCCTAGATTTCAGAGGATATATGGAATTGCCTGGATGTCTAGGCAGAAGTTTGCTGCAGGGGTGGGGCTCAAATGGAGAACCTCTGCTAGGGCAGTGCAGAAGGGAAATGTGGGGTCAGATATCCCACACAGAGTCTGTACTGGGGTACCACCGTGTGGAGCTGTGAGAAGAGGGCCACCATCCTCCAGACCTCAGAATGGTAAATCCATTGACAGCTTGCACCATGCGCCTGGAAAAGCTGCAGACATTCAATGCCAGCCTGTGAAAGCAGTCAGGAGGGAGGCTGTCCCATGCAAAGCCCCAAGGGTGTAGCTGCCCAAGACCATGGGAACCCACCTCTTGCATCAGCATGACCTAGATGTTAGACCTGGAGTCAAAGGAAATCATTTTGGAGCTTTAAGATTTGACTGCCCCACTGGATTTTGGACTTGCATGGGGACTATAGCCCCTTTGTTTTGGCCAATTTCTTCCATTTGGAATGGCTGTATTTACCCAGTGCCTGGACCCCTACTATATCTAGGAAGCAATGAACCTGCTTTTGATTTTACAGGCTCATAGGTGGAAGGAACTTGCCTTGTCTAGGATGAGACTTTGGACTGTGGACTTTTGAGTTAATGCTGAAATGAGTTAAGACTTTGGGGGAATTGTTGGGAAGGCATGATTGGTTTTGAAATATGAGGACATGAGATTTGGGAGAGGCCAGGCATGAAATGATATGGTTTGGCTCTGTTCTTACCCAAATCCCATCTTGAATTCCCATGTGTTGTGGGAGGGACCTGGTGGGAGGTAATGGAATCATGGGGGCAGGTCTTTCCCGTGCTGTTTTCATGATAGTGAATTAGTCTCATGAGATCTGATGGCCTTATAAGGCGGAGTTTCTCTGTACAAGCTTTTCTTGCCTGCCGCCATCCAAGTAAGGTGTAACTTGCTCCTTCTTGCCTTTCATCATAGTTTTGAGGCCTCCCCAGCCATGTGGAACTGTAAGTCCATTAAACCTCTTTCTTTCATAAATTGCCCTGTTTTGGGTATGTCCTTATCAACAGTGTGAAAATGGACTAAAACATAGGTTTTCTAGTTTGTGTGCATAGAGGTGTTCAGAGTAGTTTCTGATGGTTATTTTTATTTTTGTGGGGTCAGTGGTAACATTCCCTTCATCATTTCTAATCACGTTTATTTGGATTTTCTCTCTTTTCTTCTTTATTACTGTAGCTCTTTGCCTATCTGTCTGATTCATTAATCTTTTGAATGGTTCTTTATGTCTCAATTTCCTTTGGCTCAGCTCTGATTTTGGTTATTTCTTGTCTTCTGCTAGCTTTGGGGTTGATTTGTTCTTGTTTCTCAAATTCTTTCAGTTATGATGTTAGGTTGTTAATTTGAGATCTTTCTAACTTTTTGATGTGGGCATTGAGTGCTGTGAATTTCCCTCTTAACACTGCCTTAGCAGTGTCCCAGAGATTCTTTTTTCTCATTAGTTTCAAAGAAATTTTTGATTTCTATGTTAATTTCTTATTTACCCCCAAATAATTCAGAAGCATGTTGTTTAATTTTTATTTAATTGCATGGTTTTGAGCAATGCTCTTGGTCTTGACTTCTATTTTTATTTCACTGTGGTCTGAAAGTATGCTTGGTATGATTTCAGTTCTTTCGCATTTGTTGAGGATTGTTTTATGTCCAATTATGTGGTCAGTTTTAGAGTATGGACTTTGAACTCCATACTTTAGTCATACCTATTAATGTTTGCATATTGGGAAATGCAGCTCTAGGCTGTTCACCACTTTGAAATACTATTCCGATAAGAGGAGGCACAATGCAATTATTTAGATTTTCTCATAATAAATTACCATTATATTGCAGACCTGTATGGGAGATTACATGTAGATGTCCTTAATTGAAGTTTTGGCTGTTTGCTAACTCACTTATGACCTCACTTCACCAGTTTCCGAAGTGTTGGGGGAGAGGAGAAGGAGGCTAACTCACCTTCCTGCAAGGTACTTTGTTATCTATGTAAAGGGAGCACAAAGACATTTCACATAAATGATGTTTTTGGCTTCCAATTTTTTTAAGTTATATAGTAGCAGCTTCACTTAATGAATGACCTGGCTGTGTCCATAAGATATTAAGTCATTAAAATATGCTAATAGGAGGAGGATGGAAGATACAAATCTACTTTATTTGATTTCCCTACAGAACATTCTCACTGACCCTTATTCTTGAACCTGAATGAAAAACAACAACCAGAAGCCAATACTGACCTCATTCACGTTAATCCATTGCAGAATACTGTCCGTGGAGTCAAAAACACAAGAAACAATCAATAAGAGATTAAAACCAGTTTATTTTGTCTCTAAGACATTTCTCCTCAGGTTGATAGATGCAAAAGTGAACAACAGTAAAATAGTCATGCATATAATTCATCTTCTCACAGAGAATTATAACTTTAAAAACACAGACTTACAATCTGTAAGTCAGGAAGGAGGAAGGCCGTTTTTAGAGAGCAAGACCCTCATATAGTATGTCATTACCAATAAGTTTACTCTGCTTTTTATTTAAGAATAAAGAAACTGAATACTTGAAATTCATTTTTCTTACTTCTGCCAGTTGTTTACTGTTGTTTACCGAGAACATAGCTTATTTTATACCTCATAGAGTTCCTGCATTTTCCTGAGTCACTGTTACTTGGTCACTCACTGAATACATTTTATTGAGGGTTTACCAATTGCCAGTCACTGTTGTAGGTGCTGTGGGGCAAGTGAGATTAAGACCTTGCCCTCTAAGTAATATTAAATAGATGATAATGTGATAGCAAGTGACAGCTGGAGTGAGAGACTGTGCTTGAGTTAGGGTAATCAAGAAAGGTCTCATAGAAGAAGTGGTTAGGTAAGACTGGGTGTAGTCATGTGAAGATGTAGAGAAGAACTTTCCAAGCAGAAGAGACACAAAATGCAAAAGCTATGAGATGGGCAAGAGCATATGTGTTAATAAGACAGAAGGAAAGCCTGTGTGGATGAGCAATGGGAAAAGAGAAGAGAAAAGAAAAGAAAGATGAAGTCTGAAGTCTAAGGAACAGGAACAAGTCTGAATCTTGTACAGCCTTGTAGCCCATGGTAAGGAGTTTAAAGTTTATTCTGGTGGAGATGGGGAGCATTGATGGGTTTTTAAGTAGGTGCATGATATTATCCAACTTGTAATTTAGAAAATCACTCGAGCATGCTTCTAGGGAGGGTTATTGTAAATTGAGAATGCATCACAGTGAAAACGGAGAGAAGGCTGCCGCAGTAGTTCAGGCAAGAGGTAATAATATCTAGGACTAAGATTATATTGAAGATAATAACTAATGGATTCAGGATTAATTTTTCTTGTAGATAGTACTTAACTATTGAACAAAATATTAGATGTGAAGAAAAGTTTAAAATGAAAGGATCACAATGGGTTTTGGTGTAAGGAACTAATTGGACAGATAGTGGTGCCGTTTTATGAGTAGGGAAACTTAGTGAATTTAAGGAGGATGGAATAAATTGTCCTGTTTTGGCTGTTAAGTCAGGGGGAGTATTTGCAGTATGGGCTGTAACAAGGGAGAAACAGAAGGATACTTCCTACCATTAGCATCCTGCTGATGATGCAAAAACATTGAGAATTATATAACAGCAGCTCTACTTGCTCCATCCTGCTTTTGTTCTCATAAGCCCTCCTTGTGTTAAGTCCTGCAATTAAATACCTAAGCATATCTGAATTTTTTGGTTTTTGAGGACTCTTGCCTCAAAAATAATAATAATAGTTTACACTAGTTTTACTCTTGTAAAATGACCTCTAGATTAGCTAATACAATTTTTTCATCACTGGTGCTTAAAATGTATTATTTAATTAACATTAAATGGGAAAATAGATTTATAAAGAACCGAATGTTTAATATAAGTGGTGCAAGCATCTATCTTTGCCTTGTTCATGATCTTACAGGAGAAGCATTCACCCTTTTACCATTAACCGTGATATTAGCTGTAGGTTTCAAGGTTCATCTGCTTAAAAATGTTACTTTGTGGTCCTAGTTTTCTCAGAGGAGAGTTTTTCACAGGAATGAATTTTGGTTTTGTTGAATTTTTTGCATATATTGATAGAATCATATAATTTTTCTTTTTTAGCCTTTAAATAGAGTATATTGTATTGACTGATTTTTTAATGTTAAATCAATTTTGCATTTCTCAAACCTGACGATCATAAAGTACTAGTCTTTTTATAAAATGCTGAATTTAATGTGCTTACATTTTATTAATAATTTTTATATCTGTATTCATTGAATATATTTGCTTACAGTTTTCCCTTTGGTTGTCTTTGCTTGGTTTTGGTATCAGGGTAATGCTAACTTTCTTTTTAGTTTTCTCAAAGAGTTTATGTGGAATTGACACCTTTACTAAGACACCATAGTATTGGGTTGCTTATAATACCTCCTTGGCTTTAAATATCGCTAAGATCTCTAGTTATGTTACATCTTTCCGTCATAATATTGGTAATTTGTTTTTTTTTTTTTGTCTTGATAAGTCCAAAGAGAGATTTGTAAATTTTACTAAATTTATCAAAGAACAAGATTTAGTAGTTTTCACTGTTTTTTTTTTTCTGTTGTTTTTCTGATTTCCACCTTTATCTTTACATTTATTTTCTTCTACAGACTTTGGATTTAATTTTTTCTCTCTTTTATTTTATTCTTAAAGTGGAAGCTGAGGTAATTGATTTGAGACCCTTTTCCTTTTCAATATAAGCATCTAGAGCAAAAACTGCCCTCTAATCATTGCTTTAGCAGTATCTAACAGATTTCATATATTGTGTTTTTATTTTCATTCAGTTGAAAATACTTTTGACTATCACTTTTTATTTCTTCTTTGGCCCACCGATTAAACTTAGTTTAACATTATATACTTTCCAAATACTTATTTTGAAATATTTACAAATAATTATATATGACATAGTTTTTAAATATTTGGAGTTTCCCAGATATATTAAAGATTTATAGGTTTATATTTTATGTATTTGAAATCTGTATTAACTATATGAATGTATAGGATTTTTCTTGTCATTTTGATAAATTGACCCCTTTATCATTATTGTAATATAGTTTGTTCCACAATCTGCCTTTTCTAATAGTTATATTGTCATTCCAGCTTCTTTTTGATTATTAGTGTTAGCATGGAGTATCATTTTAACATCATTTGCATTTAATCTATTTAGTAACATGGTTGGGTCTTTTTAAAAAATCAAGTCTGGGCCGGGCGCGGTGGCTCACGCCTGTAATCCCAGCACTTTGGGAGGCCGAGGCGGGTGGATCATGAGGTCAGGAGATCGAGACCATCCTGGCTAACAAGGTGAAACCCTGTCTCTACTAAAAATACAAAAAATTAGCCGGGCGCGGTGGCGGGCGCCTGTAGTCCCAGCTACTCGGGAGGCTGAGGCAGGAGAATGGCGTGAACCCGGGAAGCGGAGCTTGCAGTGAGCTGAGATTGCACCACTGCAGTCCGCAGTCCGGCCTGGGCGACAGAGCGAGACTCCGTCTCAAAAAAAAAAAAAAAAAAAAAAAAAAAAATCAAGTCTGACAATCTCTGCCTTTTAGTTGGGGTGATTAGGCAATTTGCATTTAACGTGATTATTGATATAATTGAGATTGAACCTACCAACATATTTGTTTATTTTTCCCGTCTGTTCTTTGTTACCTTTTCCCCTTTTTCAATATTCTTTCCAATCATTTTTTAAGTTTTGTTTTAAATCTTTTTTATCAGCTATAACTCTTTTGTTTTCTTTTAAAGCGGATTCTTCAGGGTGTAGATTCTTAGTTTATCACTTTATAGCTTTAATTGATATTTCACTATTTTATATGTAAGATATTGAAAATACTGTACTTCCTATTTACTACCCCCATCTTTAATGTTGTTATTGTCAAACATTTATTTCTACACTTGCTATTGTTTGCAAAATTAATTGTTATTATTTTGCTTTAAGAAATCTATTTTTCACTTTGGGAGGCCAAGGCAGGCGGATCACAAGTCAGGAGATTGAGACCATCCTGGCTAACACAGAGAAACCTCATCTCCACTAAAAATAAAAAAATTAATTTCGTGGATGTGGTGGCACACGCTTGTAGTCCCAGCTACTCGGGAGGCTGAGACAGGAGAATTGCTTGAACAGGATTTTGTTCTTTTTATGCCTGCATAGTAGTTCATGGTATATAAGCACCACAGTTTTTAAAATCCAATCCACCACTGATGGTCACCTAGGTTGACCATGGTTTGCCATTGTTTATAGTGCTGTGATGAACATGCCTGTGTTACTGTGGTAATATTACTTGGCAGTTTTTCTTTGGATATATACCCAGTAATGGGATGGCTGGGTCAAATGGTAGTTCTGAGAGGTGAAGCCAGTTGGACTTCCTGGGTCCAGTGGGGACCTGGAGAACTTTTCTATCTTACAAGGGGATTGTAAAATGCACCAATCAGAGCTCTGTAAAAATGTACCAATCAGCACTCTGTAAAATGCACCTAACAGTGCTCTGTAAAACGCACCAATCAGTGCTCTGTAAAACGCACCAATCAGCAGGATCCTAGAGATAGCCAATTGCAGGGAGGATTGAAAAAAGGGCACTCTGATGGGACAAAAATGGAACATGGGAGGGGGCAAATAAGGGAATAAAAGCTGGCCACTCCCACCAGCAGTGGCAAACTGCTCCGGTCTCCTTCCATACTGTGGAAGCTTTGTTCTTTCGCTCTTCACAATAAACCTTGCTACCACTCACTCTGGGTCCATGCCATATTTAAGAGCTGTAACACTCACCACGAGGGTCTGCGGCTCCATTCTTGAAGTCAGCAAGACCATGAACCCACTGACAGGAACCAACTCCAGACACAGTTCTATTTTAAGTTCTTTAAGAAATCTCCAAACTGCTTTCCACAGCAGCTGAACTAATTTACCTTCTCACCAACTGTGTATAAGCATTCCCTTTTCTCTGCAGCTTTACCCAACATCTGTTGTCTTTTTCACCTTTTAATAATAGCCATTCTGACTGGTGTGAGATGCTATTCATTACGGCTTTGATTTATATTTCTCTGATGATTAGTGATGTAGAGCATGTTTGTCATGTTTGTTGGCCTTTTGTATGTCTTCCTTTGAGAAGTGTCTGTTCTTGTCTTTTGCCCATTTTTTAATGGGGTTATTTATTAGTTGAGCGTTCAATCAAGAACACAGTCTCATTTACAATCACCCAACAAGATAAAATACCTAGGAATACATCTAACCAAAGAGAGGTGAAAGATATCTGCAAGGAGAACTACAAAACACGGTTGAAAGAAATCATAGATGACAAGAACGAATGGAAGAACATTACATATTTATGGATTGGAAGAATCAATATCATTAAAATGGCCATACTACTCAAAGCAATATACAGATTCAACAATATTCCTATCTAACTACCAACATCATTTTTCACAGTATTGGAAAAAAATTCTAAAATTTATATGAAATCAGAAAAGAGCCCAAATAGCCAAAGCAATCCTAAGCAAAAAGAACAAAGCCAGAGGCATCTCATTACCTGAGTTCAAACTATGCTATAAGGCTACAGTAACCAAAACTGGATGGTATGGGTACAAAAACAGACGCAAAGACCAACGGAGCAGAATAGAGAGCCCAGAAATAATACCACACACCTACAGCCATTTGATCTTTGACAACGTCAACAAAAATAAGCACTGGAGAAAGGACTTCCTATTTAATAAATGGTGCTGGGACAGTTAGCTATCCACGTGTGGAAGAATAACACTGGACCACTATCTTTCACTAGACTCAAAACTTAACTCAAGATGGATTAAATATTTAAATGCAAGACCATAAACTATAAGAATCCTAGGGAAACAAAATCATAAGAAACACTGTTCTGGACATCAGCCTTGGTAAAGAATTTATGACTAAATCCTTAAAAGCAGCTGCAACAAAAACGCAAATTGATGAATGGGACCTAATTAAACTAAAGAGCTTCTGCACAGCGAAAGAAACTGAAGAGTGTAAACAGGCAACCTACAGAATGAGTGAAAATTTCCAAAAAATATGCATCTGACAAAGGTCTAATATCCAGAATCTACAAGAAACTTAGACAATTGGATGAGAAGTCTATTATTTTTATACAGATGAAAAATAAGATGAAATATTTCATATTTACTAACATGCATGCCATTTCCAGGGCTCTTTAATTTGTATGGATCCAGCTTACAATCTAGTATTATATTCCATTTGGTAAAATACTTTTTTAAGATTTTACATGGTGGAAGTCAATCTACTTTCTCTAATTTTTAAATATTTTGTATATGTGAACCTTTATTTTACTTTTGTTTCTGAAAGATGCTTTTGGTGGGTACAGATAACAGGGTGTGTTTTGCTTCAGAATTTTAAAATATTTCTCCACTACCTTCTAGCTTGCACTGTTTCTGACAAAAAATCTGTTACGTTGTACATAATGTCTTTGTTCTCTATCTACTTTTAAGATTTACTCTTTATCACCGGTTTTAATGAATTTCATTAGGATGTGCCTTAGTGTGTCTTTTTTCGTGATTTTGTGGAGTTCATTGAATTTCTTATATTTGTGTGGCTATACTATTCTTCTAATTTGGAAAAGTATTTAAACATTTTTTTTCCTTCCCTTTCTACTGTCCTCTGGGAATCCAATTCCATGCATATTAGACAGATTTAAAGTATCCTACAGCTCACTGAGACATTATTTTTCTTTTTGGTTCTTTTAATTTTGAATAATTGACATTGCTATTTTCTCAAGCTATTATTTTCTTCTGCAATAACTAATTTTCTGCTAACCTTAGTGTATTTTTCACCTTAGGAATTGTAATATTCATTTCTAGACATTTGATTTGTATCTCTCTTTAATTTTCCATAATTCTACTTAACATATTCAATCTTTTCTCTATCTTCTTAAACATATGAAACATGGTTATAGTAGCTGTTTTAATGGTTTTGTCTACTAATTTTATCATTTATAGTTTATACATTATAAATTCTATCTTCTTAGATACTTTATAAGCATTTCTATAAATATCACTAAACTTTTTTCTTAGTCACAGTTAAGTTTCTTGGAAATAGGTTTATCCTTTAAAACTTGCTTTTAGGCTTCATTAATTCATATCAAAGCAGACTTTAGTTTAGGGCTATTTTGCTTGATTCCTGAGGACAAAAAGTTTGGAAACACCAATGTAGCTAGAGTTCACAGAGCAAAGTACTAGAGAGGAGAGGAGTGCACAGAAAGAGAGAGAGAGAACCTTACGAATCTACAGTGTCCCCATCAGCCTTCATCTAAGTACTAATCGGTGTATGTGTGCAAATAAACTACAAAGGCTGGGAAAATAACTGCATAATAATGAGAGGGAACAACTGTCTAGGGTAAAGTGCTAAGAATGCATTTTGTCCATACCAGCCATGGTAGAAAAGTTTTGATAGGCAACCAGGACTATGGTCTCTAAAAGAAAGAAAACAAATTATTGACAGGCATCAGGTGGAATACTCAGAAGTCTATTATAGCCTCAGGAATCAGGCAAAATAGCCCTAAACTGAAGTCTGCTTTGATATGAAACTGTTATTTCACATATTTTGCCCAGTATTTTAACTGTTCCACACAGTAGGGTAAGTCTATTTCTTAAATAATATTAATTCATAATATTCAAATGAATTATTTTATTCCTTTCATGATATTTTTATTAATTTACTTTCTGAATTATTTTAAATAGCAAGAAAATTAGCAACATGGATTAAATTTATAAAATCTGCTTCTAAATAATTTTTAGTTCCTAGTCAAGGCTGGAGAGACAGAAAGCAGTCTCTATTGCTGTTTAAGATAACCTTATTCTAACTAATTATTTCCATAACGATGAATACAAAAATTATATATACTATACCTCTAGGCCACCCAGTCTGTGAACAATGCATTAAAGCATAACATTTCAACTAAGAAATTTCAAGGTCAGCTACTTTCTGATGCCTTGCTGAATAATTGCCCAAGGGGTTAAATGCTCTTTTAGTGGGCCTGTTAATTGGACTGTGGATTTTGGTTGTTTGTCTGTTGTCATTAGTTCCCACATGGTTTAGCAAAATGGTTTACAGGCTGCACCCTGAATGAAATAATAGTATAGAAAGTAATAGTAAACATGCTACTGAATACATTTCTGCTGCCATTTTGAAGTTTTTAATTCAAACCTTTTGGTTGCAATTCTATAAATACATTTTACATAAGAAACTCAATATTTTTCATAAATAATTTAGTACCCTTCACTAAAAAGGATGACTTTTTTTCTCACAAGATCAACTATACTTTTTAAGTTTGGATAATAGTTTTGGAGGTGGTTAAAATCACAATCTCTTCCAATGAAATGCCCAACATGTATAATTTATTCCCAACTTTTCACAAAAGCAGAGGATGCAAAGTCCAAAAGATCTTTGCTATTGCCATATAAATATCAAAATGCTGAATAGTTTTTGTTGCACGAAACAGTTAAATATTAGTAAATATTGATGTATGACAAATTTCATAGTATCCATTAACCTTTACATTTTCCAAATGTCATAGAACATTTTAATTACAGAAACCTCTATCAACTTCAGTATCATTGGTATTGCTCAAGGCAGACATTGTAATTTGTCCTAAATCTGGGCTATTCACCCCAATTTAAAAAATGCAATCAGTGTCATAATGTTTCTAAAAGTTAAAAATCATGTACAGTATTCAAAAAATAAATAAAATTTTGGTATTGCTTTACTTTAACAGCACATGAATTAAAACTGCATTATAATGAAATTGCTGCTGAACATTCCCATTAATATCAAATGAATTCATTATGACCAGCACAGTTACAATGAATACTAAATGAATTAATAATAATGAACCATTTAAAGTGTTACCTAATTGTTTTATTTCATTTTTATGTATATTTTGGTCCTATTTTAACTGTTAGGTTAATAGACAATGACATTAAATAATTAATTTTCTTGCCTAATGTTGGATAATGTGTTCATGCTATTTTCTGATGATCTCTGTATTTAACCCGTTTTATTTTACCTCAGTCTTTCCACTTATTGCCTCCTTATTTGATACTACTACTAGAATAGAAACTAGAATAGCAAATGTTAAAATTTAATTTGATATGAAAAAGAAAGCATTAAGATAAAAAGCAACGCTGTACCACAGACATCTTCACTGTGCACCTTGGTAAGCCACACAAATACTTGAAAATGGCAAATTTGGCCTGTTAGGCTTTTCACTGTGATGCTGCAACAAACAAGCAACAACAACCAATAAACTTTTATTCTTTTTTGCTAGTTTTTCTGTCTCTGCCAATGGGCGGATATGATCATTCAGGAACAAGTAAAAGAAAGGATCACTTGCAGAGAAGTTTTTTAGCTTTAAGAAAAATCTTAATCTACTTGATCATTATTTATATCAAAATGTTTTAATTTGTAATTAATCATTTGCTCCTAAATTATTTGGAGAGCTGTTACATTTACTAAATGTTATCAACTATACAGACTAGCACACAGACTTCATCGAATTTCCTTGACTTTGAAGTTTAGGAGCTCTTTCTTTGTGCCTACCAACCAGTCACCCCTCCTGCCATGAAATATTCAGATCCTTAATCTTTTATCAGAGAAATGCCTTTCATGTTGGCAGCTTCCCCTAAAAGAACGATGGTCAAAAGTTGTGTTCAGTTTTTAGTCATTTTTTGACCATTCTTTACACAATTAATTTTTTGAAAGTCAAATTAAAAACTGGGGATTCATATACAAATCTAGATTTCTACTTTATTTTGATAAATAGAAATCTCTGTTAACACTTTCTCCATATTCTGTATGGTAATGATAATCTCAATGGAACAGAAGCTGCATTCTTTGACACAGTGTTAATTTTATCATTGACTACATTCTTCTTATCCCACACTTCATAATTTATTTCTGGGACCTATGTGGTCATCATATATGTATATTTAGATTATGATGCAAAATGATATAATCTGAGATTGATACAAGGTCCTACCTTTCCCCAAATCTCCCATATCATCCTCCACAGTGCTTGAGATTCCCCCTGTAAAAACACGTTTGTAGATAAAGTATCTCCAGTGTGCCTTTGAGAACGTGAAAATGAGCAGTATCTAATCAGCAGGATGTATTTAGTCAGGGAGGCTTGTATCACAGGTATTATTGCACTTTCTGAGGGCTGGATCTTGGAGATGATGTGTGAAAGAAATAAACATTCCTTTGGGGTGCTGGAGTCAGACGAAAGATTTAGGCAGAGAGTAGAAAGGTATCTAGATGGATGATATTTTAAAGAAATAGAATGTATTCACTGAGCCTGATTCACTTGCATTAAATATGATCTGTCCCAGCAGCTCTTTGATATTTGCTAATCAGCCTTTTAAAACTGTTTTCTTAATAAGAAAGCTATCTCTTGTGGAAAATCACAAATTCATTCTGACTTTCAGAATCAATGGATTTCAGGGGGCTCTTAAAGTTGAGAATAGATACTCTACATCAATTAAATATTACTTGCTGTTATTTATTTTTTTGAAGGTGATATAGTTACTAAATTACTAGGAAGTAAGCCTTAATCTTACCATTGTGTAATAATTTAGTAAAAGCTTATAAGTAGATATACTCTATTTCCTTGGCTGCTTGCAATTATTTGAAATTGGAATGTAAGTTTTTTCAGAATCATGACTAAAACCTTTTATTCTACACTATTCAATGCTGTCGAGTAGGGCAAGGGAGCCGTTCATATAACTATCAGAGTATCATGGCATCATTGCTTCTTAGATCGGGCATCAAGAATGATTAATATATTCCTTTTTGGACTTCATGTATCTAGAGTATCTAATGAAAGTGCTTGATATATCTATCATTTTCATACATACTTTGGTGACGTTCTACCTAAAAGAAGTAAAAATGGGCCGAGGCCAGGACTATTTTTCACTCTTCACTTAGAGTAATTATCCAGGGAATTTCAGGTTGCCAACAATATTTTCTATGAAGTCCTTTTCCTCTTTTCATTTTGAATGATTTAATCTTCTTTTTTAAATAGTCTTTCCCAACCTGTCTCCTTTCCCTAACCTAAATGGAGGAAGAGATCTTTGAAAAACCTTTCATTAAAAGGATGACTGCCCAATCCCTGAGTATTCTCAGAACTTTTCATGATGGAGTCTTTGAGAATGTTTGGCGCCATCTGTGCCTCGATTTTCCTTTCTTCTGATTTTTCTTTTTATTTTTTTTCTTTTTTGTCTATTTTTTTTTTTTTTTGAGCTGAGGTGCCAGCCGAGCCAGCCTGTGCCTCTGTTTTCTGCCAAAAATGAAAAAAAAGAGAAATGCCATGAATACTAAAATAAGACATTTTTTTCAGTGTTTCTGGTATAAGCACTGTACATTTCAACTGAGTTTTCTGTAAGAATCTGTTTTTATCATCCTTTACAATAGAAAACCCACAAGAAAACTTGTGGTCTATTAGCAGAAAACAGAGGCCCTGGCAAGCTCCAGAGCAGCACAATCCTACAGTTGGGAAGCTGGGCAAGAACCCAAGTTTGTCCACGCCTAAGAACAACACTGTCTGCTAAAATTACAGTTTTCCCTTTTCACAAACCTCAAAGTTGTGAAACTTTACTAACTTTAAGAAAAGAACAGTTGGCCATACAAAAGATACACTTCCAAATCCATCGAGCAACTTACTTATACTTGCAAATGAACCACTTGGAGTGAGTCTTAAAATGTATTTGTTCCAATTATTCTGCTAAGGTAGCAAGCAGAAAGTAATCATTTTCTATGTATACTGTGAATAAGAGACTCCAAATGTTGGTTCCAAAGAAAGAATTTGACCAATAGTTGGTAAGTGGGCGTGTAAGAAAGGGTGCTATAGAAATGATAGCCACATTTTAAAAAGTACAAAGTGTTTTCTCGGTTCTTATATCTTCAGGATGATATAATGCAATGAAGTTAGAAAAGAGTCATTTTTTTTAAGCTCTGATGTTTCCTGTTTTTGTGATTCTTATAGAGATGAGTATTGGTAATTAAGCATTGCCATGTAACTCATCAATTCAGATACGTCAATGGAGGATACAGGTCGATATAGGGTGACACTCCATCAACAAATTGAATTACATTGCAGAAAGTTTTTTAGCAAACTGGAGCCAACTATTAAATATTTGTATCAGTCAGAGTTCAGTCAGGTGACTCAAACCACACTGGTTACTGAAATAGAAAAAAAAATTAATAGAAAGGATTGTGTACTGGTAGAAGTTGGTTAATTGATGAGAGGAGGGAAAAGGACACTGGAGGTCCAGAGACATAGCAGATTCCAAAGGGCAATTACTATATCTAGGCTGAAGAGGAGAGGACAACAAAGGAGCTAAGAACTGGTAGAATCCCTTTATTTATATGCTGTGCTTCAGACCTCTTCAGAAAGAGCATGACTTCCACAGGGAGCTGTACCTTGCTACGGGCTACGTATGTTTCATAGGGTGTGGTTGGCTCTGGTCCATAGAAGTAGTGTACTGTTGTTCAAGGATGTGGGAGGACCATACCTGGAAGTAGCTACAGGTGGGAAGAGGGTGTAGCTGGAACTTCTCAGGGTCTATCTGGAGCTTCTCAGTGCAGGCAGCAGGACCCTCATGCTGAGCCACAATAACTGAGGGCCAGACGGGCAAAAGACGTGTCTTTTTGCTGATAGTGGCTTGCTGAGTCAATACAGGATAGACTGGATAGCTTGGCCTCATGGTTTTAGATAGAAGTTGCAATGTTCATGAAATATAACATGAAAAGATACTGCTTCCATAATAACAAAACATACAAATCTTTATTATGAATAATTCAGAGATTAATTTCAGAATTCATTTTGTTGGCAACTTGTGACTTATAATAAGAAATATATTTCTTACATCCAGTATATTCTAAGTTAGTCATGTTACTTTTTCACAGTAAAATTAATAAAATCACCATTTTCTACCTTTATATATTGTAAAGTACTGTTAAGGATGGTTTTAGGGTTTCAGTCTTCATTTAAATTACTCCAATTTCCTTTTACTCTTCACCAATCTGTTATTACATATAATTAATCTTCTAACTTCTCACATGGAAACACTCATGCAGAGAATTACTCTAGTTGTTGCCTACATAAACGTAGACCTTTAAAATAATGTTTTCAGAAGACTTATTGAAACAAAATGCCATAGGCCATATTATAATAGATAATTTTCTACAACAAAATATTTTCAATCTGTGAGATAACCCATTTATTTCTAGCATGATTCAAACAACCAAATTTCAGTACAACTGAATAATTTATTTAGCAAACACTTATCAAGTGATTATTACCAGCAAAATACTCTGCGAGACTCTTTAAGACAGAACTACATAAGACCTTGGTCTTAAGAACTTGTAATTAATGTCTGAATAGTTTGGATATAATAGATATTAGTTAGTATCAGACACATTTGATATCTTAAGACAAATTTATACTAAAGATTTTAATTCTATGTGTATTCGAAGTGCTGGATCCCACCCGTCACATTCTCAAGCATTATCCTTTTTTGCAGTTCTAGAATTTGTACTTATTAAGGGTATTATTCTGATTCAGGCTTCAGTGAACATTATTTTGTTAATTACTTTTTCTCTCACATTTTAACGTTGAATATAAAAGGTGCATCCTACCTTGGCATCAAAACTATTCATAAAATCATCCAAGTCTACTGCTCTCAGGTCAGACTGTTTACTCTTCATATTTTAGTGAGTCTTCTGAGCTGACTTTATTACTGAATCTTAAATTTTGAGCAACTATTCAAACATCAAACATCTAAGTATTTTTATAGGCATCGTTTGTACTTTTTGTTAGTAAATCTATAATACCAGACAGCCTTCTAAACTAATGATAAATCCATTTCTTCTCCCTATCTACATGCTAGAGTCGATTACATCAATCAGTCTTACTGAATGTATTTTTCAGTAAAAATACATTTAACAAACCTAACTATATATAGGCTGAAGAGGAGAGGACAGCAAAGGAGCTAAGAACTCGTAGAATCCCTTTATTAATATGCTGTGCTTCAGACCTCTTCAGAAAGAGCATGGCTTCTACAGGGGAGCTGTACCTTGCTAAAAATCTAAGTTAGATTTGTTAAATTTGTTAAATCTATTTAGATTTGTTAAATATAAGTTAAACTAAGGTTTTTATAAGAGTTTAGACAGAAAAACTGTTTATTTCCACTTTCCAATATTTCTGTCAGTATTAGAATTAAGTTCATTTGTTTTTACTTATTTTTCTCTTGTTACTTAATACAGTAACATTTTAGTACAATAGCTTGTATATATTCTTAAAAGTATAAGAGCTAACTCATTTTTCAATTATATTTAAGAAATAATAGCTAAAGGAAAACTAAAGTAATTAAATAAACTATCTGCTATTTTCTAGAAAGTTTCAAAGACCTATTTTTTCTCTGCAACTTTGGAATAGCTTGTAATGTGAAGGGCACCATTCTTAACATTAAAAGAAAAATTCATGTTAACTCACCTTTCATAATATAGCCCTGCTACATACTAGGATCAATACAGAAAAACAAAAATAATCATCACTATAAAACTTTATTGTTTTATATGTATGTGGTTCATATTGTCATCTTTTTGAGTAATCACAAAGGCACAAAACGGATTAAACATAACACATTCAAGATTAATTGGATGCTCACTCTATGCAGGACACTCTGAACCAGGAGATACAGAGAAAAAGCAAATGAAGATCTTAATCTTGAGGAGTCCTTTCTTGGAGAGAGCAAATTATCACAATGAAGTGAGCTAAATGTTTGTTGCCAAGAATTGAGCCTGCCTATCCAGTGCTGACGCTATAATGGTGCTGTAGAGGTTAATAACGAGAGTAAAGAAACATGTGGGCGACTGAGGAAAGGCTGGATCTTGCATTTGGGCTTGATTTTAAAAGATGATAGATATTGATCCAGGAGAGAAAGATTGGCAAAAGCAGAATAAATGGAAAAGCTTAGACTCTGGTGTCAGAGGAAGGTATAATGTTCAAAGGGTAGTTTAAGGACATGTAAGAATTGGCCTTTACAGCTGTACTGTTTCTAAGATGGTATACCTTAATGTGTAAGGAATTATGGAGTACTTCTTTTATACAGCACCCTGTTTATGAGGCTCATCCATGTTTTTGTACACATTGTTTTAATGTGTTCTTTTTATTTTGAGTAGTATTCCACTGTACAAATACTCCATTACTTGTCTATTCAGTCATCAGTTCATAAACATTTTCGTTTCTTCCAGTTTTAGAATAATGTTATTATGAATATTTGCTTACAGGTATTTGTGTAAACATGTTTTCACTTATCTTGGGAAATGTCTAGAATTAGGATGGATAGATTGTATGGTAAGTATATGGTTAACTTTATTAAAACAAAACTATCAAACTGTTTTTCAAGATAACTGACCCACTTTGCAATCTCCCAGAAAAGTATTCAATTTCTAGTTGTTTTATATCTTTGCCAACACTTGGTATTATGAATCTTTCCAATTTTTGCAATTCAAGTATAATGACATTTTATTATGCATAGTTTAGTAATCTTGGAGAGACATAAAGGGATATGGAGAAAACATGGCAGATCAAAATTTTTTGAGAGGTCCTGAGACATCAAAATGTAACTAAACCAAAGGCTAGGTTGCAGTTAGCTGCCTGACCCCAACATTACTTGGAGAAAGATTAGATTCTTAATAGGCTCTGATGGTTCACTGCATAACTTCTGAACTTTCCATGTTTGCTTTGACTATGTACGCACTCTGGGACTGGATTTTTAGTTCTCGAATTTAAACAAGAAACAAAACTGTAAAGAACAGCTCTCTGGGATTCCTCTCTCCCAATGACTAGTCTTTTTCTTATAGGACACTGCCTCTGCTTCACAGCTCCAGCCTTTATGACAAAAATTTTAAATTCTTAACTCAGTCTCTCCTTATCAGGGAGAAGGGTTCTAGGTGTGGGACTGATCCAACACAACTCTCACAGTACTTTTAAGGACCTCTGACTTTCTCAGTCATGCCCACCCTCCATATCGGCAGGGGTTTTCTCCCTCCCTACAGTTAAGTTTCCTCTGCTACTCCCTTGTGCAGTACTCATCAGTTTTATCTGTGCATGCCAGAATCCAGATTATGAACACAGATCAAGGTCCATTTCCCTTCACATAACATGTGTTGTCTTCTATATAAATATCCCTTATCATTTTATAATATCTTACAACATTTATAAAGTTTCCCCAAAACAGATGTTTGTCTTTAACCCAAAGAGGACTGCTAGTCTTCCATCATAATCTGGGTATAGCTTGGTCAAACTAGTCTGTTACTGTTTTCTTTTGATCATTTCTCACCTCTCTTTTCCAACAACAGGAAGTCAGATTGTTGTCCAAGCCCAAGGAAAACTAACCCTCAGAAATCTAGAGTAAGGTCAGTTGATTAAAACAAATTTCAAGATTAATGTAGCACAGAACAGCAACTACTGCTCTTCCCTTCCAACATGAGGATCCTCACTACTATACATCCCTGATATTTGTCATGGAACACTGTAGTGACAAGGTGTATCTTCAGTAAAGTCTCCAAATCATAGGTAAATATTTCCAAATACCTAGGCTGAGTTCCCTGGCAAGCATTCATGCAAGTAAATATATCAATCTTACTTTCAATGCTGCGAAAGACTATGGGAAGACCCACTAATGTTAGGGTATTACCTTCGGATCACCACACAATTTACACATATCTAGAAAGGCACTGTTCGATTAAGTTGTTAATTAGAATTTGTGAAGAAACACACAGTGTGTGTTACAAGTCTGAATGTTAAAAATATGAAGATTACAGGATTGTGAGAATACTAGTCATTCTTTTTCTCTAAAAAAGAACATTCAAGATATTATCTTTGTTTCTGAAGTCTTGGGTATAGCAAGCTACTACAGGTTGTTTATTTTGTGCTTTTATAGTCATATATTCAGAAAAAGAGACATAGTTTGATCTTTTATATTTTGATAGCACTATAAAGTTTATAGAGCCCTTGTCTGTACATTACCTCCTTAATCAATTATATTATCTTAACAATATTGGCACATCACAGAGTCACAAATTCTAAAAGTGTTCCTGATAAGACTATTGATTGGCTTTCAGAATTATAAATTAAATTCATAATTTCTATACCATTGCAAAAACATTTTGAACATTTTTAGTACATATTTGTATGTTTTCGCTTTGAAAAGAGATAGAGTATATATCTATTAATATTAACTACTAAATTTGGAACAAAAATAAGTTAATGCAGCAGTAGGTTTCATTTGGCATAATAAAGCATTTCTATCCTTCATTATTTATAATTTTATTGGGAAATATGTGCTAATGCAAACAATTTTCATACATGAATAAAACATAAGGTGGAGTAGTAATTAATATAAAAGGATTCAACGGCACATAAAGGTGGTTAATATATCTATCTCTTCATATATCAACGCCACTTATATTTTGTTGGAAGACACTAAAGATCGAAAATCAAGCATGCTAATTAATTAGTTTCATTCTCAGTTAACTTGAAGGTTGCATATAAAAAGGAAATCAGGTTGACTGTGAGCAAGGAGAATGAATAGTTCAGATAAAAAGATCAAGAGGAGAAGGTATACAGGAAAGAAAGGGAAAGAATGTCAGCACACTTAGCAGAATAAAAGGTCTCCTTTAATGACTCAAAGTGGAACAATTTCCCCCTATCCCGTCACTGAACACAGGGAAAGTTAGAGGGCAGAATCCATTATATATATGGAGGCTGCAGGATCTGCATATAAACTTTCATAGAAAAAAAGTGAGTATCTAGTAAGATAGAGAAGAAAAGAAAAGTTAGAAGTATATTCAAAGATAATGTTCTGGATGGCATTGAACAGGCATTTTAGTGAGATTCTTTTGGATATGTAGAGATAGGGCTTACCAGGTTTTTCAAGAAGGGAGGATACAGATATTGTCACAAAAGGACCAGAGATCCCATGGGAAGGACAAAAATACAGCAGGACCAGGCATTACTACATCTAAGACTGGATCCAGGACTCTCTGCTGGGCCTGAGCACAGGAGTTCGTGAATCATCACACTAATGGTTAATCTTTGATGAAATTTAGCTAACTCTGTTGGTGTTTACTTCTATGTGTCTACTCTTCCCTGTGCCAAGTGATTTCTTTTCCCTGTAGTCTACATGTTTTCTCTAGCTCATGGCTTCAGTTGCCTCTCAGTTTTAGCTTATTTATAAACTACCATGGCCTGTACTCTGTATTTGTGGAAAGCAATTCGCCTGTCTCTCACAAACTGTCCAATTATCCTTATACTTCCTAACTTCTCTTCAATCAGCTCATACAACCTGCTGGCCTAAGGAGGCTGGCCTATGACTCAGGAGAAAGGCTGAAGTCACAGGCTGGCCTGCCCCTCTAGCAAGGGCTTTGTGTAGGACAGTTTTCTTTAGAAAGGGCTATTGGAGTAGCACATTTTATGATGAATAGATCAAGAAAAACATTCATCCCTGAAAACGCTTTGTTGGTTTTCTTAGTCACCTGTGATATCTGAACTTCTGCTCTTATGGTATGGTTCTCAGCTTTATATTTCCACCTAAAACTCTTTTCATCTCAAAGACTAGGAAGCATTATGTTTTTGTTTGCATCAAGAAAAAATCTACATAAGATGAATTAATGTATGGATGAATGAATAGATTTTTTCCACAATTTTTTCCAGTAGATTGGATGATAATAGTGCTTGGCATTAATCATTTTACTTCAAATGTCTGACTTTATATGGTTACTATTTCAAAACACTCAAAATTATACATCATGTATTTCTTTTCTTGGATATTCTGTTATCATTTCTCCCGTATAACTTACTGAAGTTAATTAGCAAACCTTTCTTTCTAGTTTCAATGCCTATGTTCTAATTCTTTGGTTTCAGTGATTAGTTTTGGCCATTTAAATATTATCAAAATTGCATTGATAAAAATACTGATATAGTTAACTATGAATTTTATATCAACTCAAATTCTTATAGATAGTTAGAGCTGTGTACCTCTACTACACCAAGAGAACTTTTTAAAAGTTGGTGAAAAATTGTTTTACTACATTTTAATCTTGTCTGTAACTTCCTGAATAACTTACATAAATAAGATTGTTTTTTCTTCTTATTAGTAATGACAATATTAGAAATCTATAGGTACAGTTTACATGCATTTTTAATGTCTTATTAGTAGCAAAATTGTATGAGATTTTATGGCAGGTGGCTTAATCATCATTTCATTGAGTCACATTAAACCACAAAGTTAGTCATGATGTCTTGCATGCTTTCCAATGAGAGGTGAGGTATTAACATAGTGTACTTATTGGAGTACACGCTAAAATTTTCAATAATTTTGTGGAGTTGACAGGAGATAATTCCTATCTTAAAATTTCTAAGATATAATTCAGATCTTAAAATTTTAAAAATATATACAAATATTGCAAGGAAACCAGACTTTTGTATTTAAAAGCTGCTACTCTGAAGTGGAAATTTGTGTCTAGCAGTTTACATTTTCTTTATAAGATATTCTGAGTTCTGCCTTATGGTAAAGATTCTGTCATGATAAAATCAATCTAAGTTTTACTAATCAAGGAAATTTATTAACTAAGTGATTATTGATTGGAATTAAAATTTGTGGAAATTTTAAAGAATAGATTTTCAGAAGATACTAGCATTTAGAAAATAATATAAATCACATAATTCATGAAATTTTTAGTAGGATGAATTACATTAACTTGAATGATGATTGCAGTACATATGCCATACCCAAACTAAAGAATGGTGCCACTTGACGATTACAAAAGTTTCTATTCATGTTTCATGCCATTTGAAAAAACACACTTTTTGCATCTATTGATAGGAAAATCAAGATGCTTTTCATTCTCCCAAAGCATATTGCCACATAACTCTGTTTCTTGTAATGAGTCAAGGCAAGAGTTAGAAATAAGTTCAAGATTATTTGTTCCTTTTGTTAAATATATGAAGCCAGAGATTCTTTGTGCCATAGGAACATTAGTATGTCATTTAAATGCTAGTGTATCCCATGTTTTTTTTTTTTTTTTTTCAGAAAATTGTCAACCGCAGATGTAGCCATGAAGTATTATGAGCGAGTAATAGCAAGGGCTTTGCTGTCCTCTCTCTCCACTGTTGTTTCAAACAAACACAAAATCAACAGCATATGCAATCTCAATAAAATAACATAGAGATGTGATCTGTTGCTTTTTTTGAAATGAGATTAAGTCTGTCACATCGTAAATCTACCTGTGTAATGTTTGAGCTTAACGTTTAACTTGAAAAAAAACCTGACATTAGAGTAAATAGTGTGAAGGAATAATTGAATTCAGTTGAGGGTTATAACTGTCTCTTTAAGTTTTAACTTTGGAAAAACAGGCCTCCTTGCATAGGCTTCAAATATTTTGAATAAATATTTGTCATAGTGTGTCCGGAATTGGTGGGTTCTTGGTCTCACTGACTTCAAGAATGAAGCCACGAGCTCTCGCGGTGAGTGTTACGGTTCTTAAAGGCAGCGTGTCCGGAGTTTGTTACTTCTAATGTTCGGATGTGTTTGGAGTTTTTTCCTCCCCGTGGGTTCGTAGTCTCATTGGCTTCAGGAGTGAAGCTGCAGACTTTCACCGTGATTGTTACAGCTCATAAAAGCAGTGCAAACCCAAAAAGTGAGCAGCAGCAGGTTTTACTGCCAAAAGCAAAAGAACGAAGCCTCCACGCTGTGGAAGGCAACCAGAGCAGGTTGCCACTGGGGCTCCTGCAGCCTGCTTTTATTCCCTTTTCTGGCCCCACCCACATCCTGCTGATTGGTCCATTTTACAGAGAGCCGATTGATCTGTTTTACAGAGAGCTGATTGGTCCGTTTTGACAGGGTGCAGACTGGTGCATTTATAATCCCTGAGCTAGACACAAAAGTTCTCCACATCCCCACTAGATTAGCTAGATACAGTGTTGATTGCTGCATTCACAAACCCTGAGCTAGACACAGGGTCCTGATTGGTGTATTTACAAACCTTGAGCTAGATGCAGAGTGCTGATTGGTGTATTTACAATCCCTTAGCTAGGCATAAAGGTTCTCCAAGTCCCCACCAGACTCAGGAGCCCAGCTGGCTTCACCCAGTGGATTCCACACTGGGGCTGCAGGTGGAGCTGCCTGCCAGTCCCCCGCCGTGCGCCCGCACCCCTCAGCCCTTGGGCGGTGGATGGGAATGGGCGTTGTGGAGCAGGGAGCCGCTCTTGTCCGGGAGGCTGGGGCTGTGCAGGAGCCCACCGCAGGGGGATGAGGGGGGAGGCTCAGGCATGGCGGGCTGCAGGTCCCAAGCCCTGCCCTGCGGGGAGGCAGCTAAGGCCCAGCGAGAAGGGCTGAGGAGTGCGGGTGCACGGCGTGGGACTGCCAGGCAGCTCCACCTGCAGCCCAGGTGCTAAGCCCCTCACTGCCTGGGGCTTGTGGGCTGGCCAGCCGCTGGGAGTGCGGAGCCTGCGGAGCCCACCCAGAATTCTAGCTGGCCTGGAAGTGCCACTTGCAGCCCCGTTTCCCGCCTGTGCATCTCCCTCCACACCTCGCGGCAAGCCGAGGGAGCCAGCTCCGGCCTCGGCCAGCCCAGAGAAGGGCTCCCAGGGTGCAGCGGCGGGCTGAAGGGCTCCTCAAGCGTGGCCAGAATGGGCACCAAGGCCAAGAAGGCACCGAGAGTGAGCGAGGGCTGCGAGGGCTGCCAGCATGCTGTCAGGACGCTGTCACCTCTCAATAGGCTTCTTTGGCAAATATTTATTCAAAACCTATTCTATTCAAGGCAGAGGAAATGTATTATGGAGACTACAAATAACTATAAACAATGTAGCTAGAATCTAAACGCATGAAAAAAATTAATTTACCCAACAGTAAGACTTTTTAGCCTGCAAGCTCTATATTCAGTAAGAAGAAAGGCAGGCTGAAATTTTGACCCCTTAGTTGCCACATATGAGGAGTCATGCTCTACATATGGGATAGAAATGTCTTGATGTGGCGCTTCACCATTCGCCATTCAGAAAGCAATGACATAAAAGAAAAGCATTTATGATTATTTCAATTATAGAAGATCATGTTGTCAAAATTTGAATGTACAATTTGTGGACACGAAACTAATACCCGTTATATAGACATAGTCATCAACCATAAGGAAATAGTGTAATAAGAAAATTGTATGATTCATTTTTTTTATGTCTTAACTTTTATCTAAGCCTGGGTTTTAATGAACATACATAGAGCCAAGAACAGTGCCCAACATGCGTTTTTTCTGAATTATTGCAAAGGAGTTTCTTTCCCTCATTTAAGCTTATCAGTGTTCTTTTATATATTCAAATTGGTGTGTGTTTCAATGTCCTACAAGATACCTATGTTAAGTTATCTATATTTTCTCCTAGTTTGCTTTTAAGAATGGACAGGAATGATAAAACCAAAGAATTATGGTAGGCAAACAAGAAGTGGACAGTTCCGAAATTCGCATATTTTATTAATATAGTACTGATATCCTTTTGCTTTAAAGTAGCTTTTGGAAGGAGATTAAGTTATCTCTACTAATTCCCTTAACTATCTTCTTTGGTTTATCATGCCTCGTTGTGGTAATATCCAATAATTGAGTAAGAAAATATTATTACTTACCAATCTTTTAGGTACAAGTATGTGTCACAGCCAGGTATAATTTTAACCCAGAGATGATTTTCTTCTAAAAGCAATTAACATTCTATTTAATGAAATTATGTTGTATACTAGATATAATAAGAAAATAATCTTCATTTTTTAGGAAAGTATAAATACAACAAAAATATAAAGTATATTGTGATATACTTATAAATAAATAATTTATAATTTATAATAAAAAATAAATACGAAGTATTTATTCCACAAAGTTATCTGACATTGAAGTATTTGCAAACTAAGATTTTATCACATCAATAATGATTTTATTATTTTTCATATAGCAAGCAAAACTGGAAAAGAATTGATCAATATTCATCATCAAAGGAATCATTAATTCCAAATAACACAAAATGTACAGATAGAAAGCTGAAGCTAATAAAAGGTTAATAATTACATTAAATCAAATTTCTACATATAAAAGCTGTCAGTCATTTTAATAAGCATAATAAAGAGCACTAATAAAACTGAATTTTTATATAACATATAATAGATTTATATATAACAATACTGCATATTTTAGATAAGGCTCCGCTTTTGTATTTCACATTTCTCTAGATAAAATTTCTTGGCTGGGTACGGTGGCTCACTCCTGTAATCCCAGCATTTCAAGAGGCTGAGATGGGAGAATCACTTGAGCCCAGGAGTGGAGACCAACCTGAACTACATAGGGATATACCATCTCTACAAAAAGTTTTTTAAAAAAATTATCCAAGCCTGGTGTATAATTATCCTCTCACCTGTGGTCCCAGCTACTTGGAAGGGTAAGGTGGGAGGCTGTCCTGAGCCTGGGAGGTCAAGGAGGCTGCAGCAAGCCATGATCTAGCCACTGCACTCCAGTCTGGGTGACTGAGTGAGACCCTGTCTCAAAAAAACTAAAAAGGAAAGAACATGTTTTATTGCATTTATTCATCCAAATATAGTTAATTTGTAATACAATAACATTAATGTAACAAAACAATTTAAATTTTTCTTCTGTTTGCAGCATCACAGAATGTGTTGCTGATATAAATAATTTTCAGTTTTCTACAAAGAACTTATTTTTCTATTAGAAGTTTTCTTAATAAACAGAGGTATATGGTGAAAGTGAATTCATTATTTCGGTTACAAGAGTCTTGGATAATGCGTTTCAAAGGCATTTCTAACAACTACAATAACAACAGCAATTTAGCCAATTTCCTACTATATTGAAACTGTTAAAACAGCTATTTTGTTGTTTTTTATAAGTCCTCCTAGCAGATTAACATTTCTTTGCATAGCTTAATCCCATCTTTGCATAATGTACAGATAGATGCACACTAGTCTCATATTTACTATCACTTTTCAATTTTTCTGTTAAAAGATATACAAAATTAAAAATACTCAATAAATTAGAAATACATAGATAAAATAATCAAAATAAAAAATTGAATACATTTGATGGCTTTGCTAAACTTTCAAAAATAGGACTAAAATGTGGCTTTCTATACATGAAAATTACACTTCTTTTTAAGGTTCAAAACTAGTGGATTAAACTCTTGCACAAAGACTCCTTTGATTTTAGTTGTTTATCATTTCAGAAGAAGCAAATCTTATGTTTTTTCCCTGTAAAATTGAAGGTGTGCAGATGACCATATTATTTAATTTAAAAGGGATCATTTGACCTCAGTTTACTTGATAATATGACTTCTTAATTAAACTCTTCAAACTTGTTTTTTTTCTTTCTACCAACTAAGCTGTAAGAATGCTATGAAAATTGGTAAAAACTAATCAGTAAATTGAGATGATATTTGACAATTGTGTTTCAAGGCCTGAGAGCAGACTCTTGAGGATAACCCTTTGTGTGGTGCTATATTTGGCAGGCATTGTTGCTCAACATAAAATTTTCTTACTTATGCTACATATGGTTTTTTAAAATTGTGTTTTGCATTTTAGATCTGTGACTTTTTTGTGGGAAATGTTGCTCTCCTAGTAGCATATGTGTCATTGTTTGTAGCGTTTATCCAGCATTGTAACTTAGTTTTCTGTTTGTTTGTTTGTTTGTTTTTTGATAAACCTCCAATCTCATCTGGACTATCAGATTTCAAAAACCAGCTGAAGATTTGGATGCGAATTCTGGATGTTAAAGGAGTTGTTCAGGTTTCATCAGTACCAAAGGGAATTCCTTTTTCTTAGAGGTGAATGAATGAATTCTACATTCTAGGTGTTATATGAGGAGAGAGAAACATTTGATTAATACATGGCAATGAGTCATCTGATTACAGCTATTACCACGGGGAAAGTAGAATATCTGTTTCAATCTCTTTCTAATTTTATCTCTTCCTCTTTAGAATATTAAAGGAAGAAAAAATTGTCAACTAGTATTCCTAAAGTAATTCCATAATAATTTTGAATTATTTATCTTTTATGCGAATTGGTATATTTGCCAAGATCAGATTACAAAAATATAAACCAAGACCGCTTTGCAGAAAATGTTTTTTCTTTGGTCAGTATGGATTGCAAAATATATTGGATATCTTGAAGAGGGAGAGAGAAGTGGAGATATGACTTGAAGCTAAAGAAGATTACTTCCCAATCATCCCAGCCCCCAGTGTATAGTTAAAAAAAAAAAAAAAGAAAAACCCTTGACTATTCTTGACTATTTTTTTCCTCTCCTTTACAAGAAAATCACTCTTTAGTTACTCATTTCCTTTCCCCATGGTCAGGTTGCCTGCATCTCCAAACACTTGTAAGTACTGTATGTTCTGACATATCCTGAAGTCATGCATTAGCACCTTTTCATTCAGCAAAGGGTGAGAACAGATATCTTTTGGCAGCTGACAGCAGGGCGCAGGCAGCAAGTCGGAGAAGGAAGCGGACGACCGAGGACACTGTGGTGGCCTAGTGGCTAGCAGGACTAATGCACCAGCTGTGAATAACCCCCTTTTCCCCTCCTATCTACCCAACAGATGTCTCTCTGTCATTGTCATGTCCTCAAGCTATCCCAGTAAATGATTTGTGCATTGCAACTGAGTCACCAATGTGGCAATTGAACCTCTTCACAGCTCAGAATTGTTGATGTGTGCACGGAGGGCCCTGTGGTTGTACTGAACGCATGTATGAACAGGGATGAACTGCAGAGGGACTGGGGGGCAAGCACCCGAGAAAGAGGATGAGAAAGGGAAGCAGGAGACAGAGAGGATACTGAAATGTCAAGGTTACCTTGTTTTGCCTGGAGAATTAAAAGGAAGGGCACATTATTACGTCTGCCTCTATTTGGTCTTTTGGCTCTCTTAGGCTGAAGCAGCCCCTTGCTGCTCTGGTAGATATACATATCACTTTGAAAGATTAAAAAATGAAGAATGCAGTGATCTGTATTGCATATATGCTTTATTCTGTGGAAAGAATGTTGATAAATACACTGAGAGCCTGCAAAGTTTGCCAATATAAATAATGTGGCATTTCAAAGTCTGTCAGTAAATGTAATTGAATTTTTCAATGTAAAAATATAGTTCAGTTATAAATTGGAGTCATGCTTGACATTAGTTGGGCATTAGAAGATATTAATTAGATACTGCTCACTTCTCTCTGATTTCTTTATATTAAGTGAATTTTCAGGAAAGAGGAATTTGCAAGCATGCAGTTTAGAGATTTTTATTCTCAAAAACAAACTGGTTGGTAATTTTTAGTGGAGAAATAAATGCTTTTTTCAAAAATCTTGTCAGTGAGCTGTCTAAAAATGCCCTTCCCAATATGAACACAATATGGAAAAGCTAATCCATTTTAATACTTTGTAATGATAATAAGCTACAGTGAACAAGTAGCCTAGGGAAAAGACAGTAGTAGTCACCTTTAAACAGAAAGAGAATAGCAAGTAATTGTACATTTTTACACTAGGCTGATGACAACATTTCCTGTGACTTTGAACTTACTTTGGCTGTCACCATCCTGGCAAACATTTTGCATATCAATCAGACAGTTGTTATTTCTTGCATGACATTTGCAGCATAATGCAGAAATTTACTTATGTGATCTTTGTATGTAAGCAGACAGTTTATAAGTAAATAATTGTGCTCCTTCATGCCACAGATGAGGATTTAACCTGCATGTGGGACTGCTAAGACCTTTTAAATATCAACACAACATGCAGTTTCCATTTAATGTTCTTATTCTTGTTTAAATCAGTCTTCATCTGTGTTTGGCATGATTCACCCTATGTGATTTATGTGGTTGTAGGGTGCTGCGTGTGTGTGTGTGTGTGTGTGTGTGTGTGTTTTCCAGCAGTTAATTACTGGGACTGAGATTCCAGAAATAGTTTTTATAACAGTGTTTGAATCTTAATTTCTTCAAAACTTGTCATGTTAACTTTTTGTTTTGTATTTGACAAAATCTGTAATTAATCACCAGAAAAAGAAGCATATCTAGATATTGACTTTTAAAATTGCATAATTTTAATTTATTGGGCTTGTTTGAGTATTTTTTTCTAGTCTGTATTACCTAACATTTTTGGGACACCATTACATAAAAACAGATTTTTGAGGTTTTCAATTTAAAATGTCAAAGTATCCAGGTTCTGTGCTCTTTAGTGTCCTTCAGAATAGTTTCCTTCCAAATAAATAATAATATTTAAATGCTGTATTTATTTTAGAAAAAAATGTAAAGTGCCCCCACATTGCATAATGTATGTTACTCAAAAATATTTTTATGATATCATTTTGTAGTTAAATTTCCCTTCCATATTCTGCTTGGAGATGAACATTTTTTTTAGGATTCGTTTTTGGAGGCAGGCAATCGCTTACCTGGTTTGAATTAAGACTCTTCAGATACACTCTGCTGCCTGTGAATAATCTCTCAGTAAATACTAGTACTTGTTACATTAATAAAACATCTTTAAAAATACATGTTTTTTATTCTAACATAACTTTAGTTCTTGTAGAGTCTAATAAAATATGTTCAGTTGTACTATGTGAACACTTTACCTACTTCTGATATTTGTATGGGTTAATTGATAATTAGCTTCCAAGGTTAAAGAGAGAAAATAGAATGCGGCCTGGCCCTAGGAACTGGAAAGAACGAAAATTAGAAAATGAAAGAAATATAATGAAAGAATTGGAGCAAATTGTAAACTTTCTTTTTTTAGGGAAAAAAAACATATAATTTTAATTTTGTCACTATTCAATGCAACATTCTCTTTTCATGGCCAAGAAAATGAAGTAAAAGGAAAAAGTAAGTGCTAAATTGTTTCAGTGATAGCTAGCTGACTCCTACTCATTCATGCTTAGCTGTCAAGCCAGAGACATTCTGTATACTCTGCATTTAAACTTAACCATGTGACTAGTTCTTACCAAATTAATATGAAATGAATTGATGTGTGTCACTTCTGGGTTGAGGTAGATACTTATGTAGATAGAGACTACCACTAAAGACTCTCTCCATTTCTGCCAGATAAATAAAAGTGGGGCCATAGTATAAGAGTAATTTGGATTTCTGAGTTACTTCTTAGGAGGCAAGCTCTAAACATATCAGAAAGACATGAGAAATATATATTTAATGGTTTACCTACTGTAGTTGGGCAGTTTGTTTCAACTACCACCTCCCTATTACAGATATTAATTAACATTTATTTCCTCTTGTGTACATTCATTCAATCCTCACAAAATCTTTACAAAATAGATATTATGAAATCTATTTTGTAGTAGAGGCTTCTGAGACTTGGTATATTTGATTGACTTGTTCAATACAACAACAGCATTAGAATTTGAGCTTCCTGTTTGAGACCTAAATTTATACTGTTTCCAGCATACTTCTTCAATGGTCTACTTTTAAAATCCTTATATTTATATTAATTTGACGTGATATGTATGCATTAGTGGTGAAGAGTATGGTTGTATGTTCTTTATAATATAATGACAGATTGGAAGTTAAGAACTGCTGCTCCACAATCTGAAAATACCTTCAAGTGAATGGGATGAAAGCAAGGTATACCTTTCTTTGTAAGATGATAAATTATTTTAGTGTCAATTGGCTTTATAGAAGATGAATAAAACTAAAAATCCCCAGGAAGGCTTAAAAACATTGTTTATGTTATGAAAGACATATTATTGGGCTTTATAAAACCAGTTGGGTAAGTGCTGATGCTGTTGATACTACTAATAATTCAGTTTTTCATCTGCCTTTTTTTCTACTAAGCTTACTTATATACTTACATTATTTGAATTTTCTGATATCTATCTATTCATCCTCTCTTGCTGCCAAAACTGATATTTAGAAAATACAGATCCTGTATTTCTAGAAATCAGAGTATCTATGAAGCATTTGAACATTTCCCAATTCAATGCACTTACCTGGGAATGTATTTGGGTAATGGCACTTTTTGGTTATTTGTAGTTTTGCCACTAACACGCAACTATTGTTCAATCTTTTACATTATACCACTTTCGAGAAGGAGAGTAAGGAATTCATTTATCAGAATGTTTGATCCATATTATTCTTATTAACAAGAGTCCCATAGGCCTCAGTTTTAGAAAAATTTATATGGTTCACTAGTTGTTTCAGAAATAGATGAAGATACAATAGTAATTCAAGGTTGTCCCAGTGGTTCTCGAACTTTTAACAACACTGGAAATACCTGATGGGTATGTTAAGGCAAATTGCTAGACCCTACCACCAGAGATGTTGACTCAGTAAGTGTAGACTAGCGCTCACTAGTTGTATAAGTTTACATCTGATAATAATGTTACTAATCCAGTGACTACACTTTGAGAATCATGTTCTAGAACAAAATGTTTCAGGTGAATTTGTTTAGCAATGAACGCATATGAAAATATGCCATGTCAAAGTTCTTTCAGGATCACCTTGTAAACGTTAAAAAAAAAAAAGGAAGAGAAAAAAGTCCAAATGATTGGCCTTTAACATCTGCTTTGTTCAGTTATTGGATGAAGGGGGCGCAGATAGGCATGCTCTCCGGTGCGGTGTTGCTCTGCAGCTGAGGCAATCCCTGAAGAAGGGGCTGGCAGCTGAAAGCTCTCTGTGGACACCACTCGCAATAGCTGGAGCAAGTCCTTCCTTGAAGGGGATTTGAGTGGACATCTGCATGTCCACCACACCCAACTTAAAATTTTCAAAGACTTGTATTATCTGGAGTTGACCTGATTTTCATATCTCAAACATGTAATTCTCCCTTTTGCTAAATAAGATCCACTTACCCACACATTGCTGTACACAAGCCAAGCTTTTTCCTTTTTTCAGTACAAAGTTTTCCCCATACTGTTATATCTTTCTGAAATGCTATTCTTTCCTTCTCCTCACCAGTAATTCTCCTGATTTGTTTCTTATATAAGACCCCTGACAAAATGTTTCATCTCAGGTTTATCATTCTGGCTAATGCGGCTCCCCCTGAAAAATCTCTGTAACTGTACTCTTTCCATTTCAGTCATAGCACTTACCACTTTTTGCAATTTTCTCTATAAAATTGTGTTGTTGTTGTTTTTTTTCCTATCCCCTCTATAGATCTTAACCTCTATGGGAACAGAAGCTATGTTGTTCACCAGTGTAAACCCAAAATCATGAAGAACATAGGCTGTTAGCCCTAATGCAGGCTCTCTTTAAATATCTGCTGTAGGAGTATGGTAGAGATGATCACCAAAAGTTCCTGACCCTTCCGTAGTATAGAGTTATTGTAGAGTGATGGGTAACTGTGTGGCCATGGACTACTTCCCTTGCCCCATCCACTGCCTGTAGTGGTTCCTAATCATGAATAATTTTAACCCCAGGGATATATGGCAATCTCTGGAAACATTTTTAGTTGTCACAACTTGGAAGAAGGTGGGTTGCTACTGGCATCTGCATCTAGTGAGTATAGACCAGTGATACTGCTAAACATTCTATAGTACACACAATAGCTTCCTACAACAAAGAATTTTCTTGCCCAAAATACCAGCAGTAGCAAGGTTTAGAACATCTGTGTTTTAGTTTTCTATTCCTGCTTTAATAATTATCATACACTCACTGTTATAAAACAACACAAATTTATTATCTTTACAGTTCTTTTATGGGTTCACAGAGCTAAAAATCAAAGAGTCTGATTGAATTCTATTCCTTTCTTGAAACTTAAGGAGAATCCATAACCCTCCTTTTTTTTTTGAGATGGAGTCTCACTTTGTCACCCAGGCTGGAGTGCAGTGGCATGATCTCGTCTCACTGCTACCTCTACCTCCTGGGTTCAAGTGATTCTTCTGCCTCGGCCTCCCGAGTAGCTGGGACTATAGGCGTGCACAACCACGCTTGGCTAATTTTTGTATTTTTTTTAGTAGAGACGGGGTTTCACCATATTGGCCAGGCTAGTTTCAAACTCCTGACCTCAGGCCACCCACCTTGGCCTCCCAAAGTGCTGGGATTACAGGCATGAGCCACCACACCCGGCCCATATCCATCCTTTTTTTTAGCTGCTAGAGGCTTCCTGCATTTCTTAAGCTTGTGGCCTCCTTCCTCCAGCTTCCAAGCCAGCGACATTGCATCTTTCTGGCCATTCTTCTATAGTCATACCTCCCTCTGACCATGCCAGGAGGGTTCTCCTATATAAAGAAATGATTATATTGGGTTCACCTGGATAAGCCAGACTAATCTTCTTTATATTTAGTCTCTTAATCACATCTGCAAAGGTCCTTTGACCATGTACACTAATTCAGAGGATCTGACCATCTTATGGTTGGGGGCAGAATTTTGCATAGAACACCTGGGATATGTATGTAATTTTTGCCAGTGGAAAATTAACATTATCAATGTGTGTTCATTCTGATCTAATGGGTTTAAAAAGTGAGTCTGCTGTCTCTCCACTTTTTCCTTTCTATAATAATCTTGACTCCAGATATTCCAAAAGTCAATAATCTTGACTCTAAAAGATGAAAGATAACAAAATCACAATGTAGAAGTCAAGCCATGAAGAATAAGTGTGAGACAGTTGTGTGAGTGAACAATATATATATTTTCTATTAATTTCTACATGCTTCTGGCATTATATTAAGCCATAGGGCCTTGAGTTTATCTATTACAGCAGCTAGCATTCTTATTGTTATTATTATTGAAAATGATACCTTAGGTTATAACAAAAAGCCTAAAATAGGTTGCGTTGTTTTAGCAGTCAGCTGGCAAGTGACAAGGAAATTAACATCAGAAGAAACACTTTGTTCTGAAGCCCTACACTAGACTTATTGAATAAGAGACTTCTGTTGTGCTATGCCATAGGGATTTCATAGTTTTTCTATTAAGGGAGCACACATAACCTTAACTAACACTGTGAGAAACTGGCTGAGTGAATAAATTACTAGGTAAATAAAACAATGCATTTCTGAGTTTATATTGCTCACTTATAAAAATAAGTAGAAATCACTGTATGTATGAGCAACAGTAAATAAGTATCCTTAGCACAGATTCCAATAACATCAACTGGATGAACACTGGAATCATGAAGTGTTATTGGCATACCAACAAATGCAAGAAATGCTGAATAGAGGTAACCATAAACACAAACAGATTACTTTCATTTTTCATGTAGCATTCATTATGATTTGCAAACACTAAAATATAAAGGCGCTCTTCTCTACCTTCTGAACACTATGTAACCTATAGATAGTGACAAGGAAGTATGAAAAAAAATCCAAATCCTGAGGCAAAGTAATCTAAACTGTAACCACTGACTCAGGTGATGTGGTTCTCTTCTCCCTCCCATCAGGAATCAGGATTGGAGAGGGTGAGGAGGCTTCGGTGTTTATTTGCACTGTAGGATGAGGGACTGCAGGTGATGTCTTGGAGAAGGTAATAATCTGGATATAGAAGACACAAGTGTTCCCTGGGAAGCACTCTTACTCCATCCTAAGAGAGGAATTGATTTTTGCCTTTCCACGTCTCTACTTGATAACTGCACAAAGATATGCTGGTATTTTACTCCAGTTAATCTTGCCTTCTTTCTTCTAAGATAAGTGTATATTAAGACAGTGAGTCTCATGTAGAGTTGTTTCTTCCTTCTCAAAATCCAGAGTTTAGCCATATAGTTAATCGTTATATAATGACTCCCAGTGTTAAGTAAAGATGAGAGTCATAGAATTCAAAGGCAACTTTGATAATTGTTTAGAACACTAAAAATACTTCATATATTTCTGAAGAAAGATAAGAATTAAGTTATTAGTACCCGGAAATATCTGTATAATTCTATCTCTTCTCATCAGAGTTCTGTTCCCCAAGTCTGGAAGATACTATCACCGACTGGTAGCTACCATTTCATTAGAAATCCCAAAGATATTTAATTTTTAATTTTCAACTGAATTTAACCATTGAAAGCACAATAATAGGAGATTAATGTCTGATGAAATAGTGCTATCAGTAGCATATCATTCAAGAAACATAAATTTCACAATTCAAAACTGCCTTATACATGGAAACACATCACTCCCTAAACTATGTGTAACTTGAGGGCAAAGACAAAATTTGTGTAGGTTTGAGGAATTTTTTAAAGGGTGAACATATTCTCATCCACATATTTTGTCCTTATACATAACTAGTTCAAATTGCCCTCTCATCTATAAAATTGGTATAAATTCATGTATGTAATTCTATACCTTTGCTGTATCTCAAATACTTTTCTTAATCCAATATATCCCCTGTATGAATTCCTATGGTTTTTAATCTTGAGGCAAGTGATATATTTCTGTGACGTTGAGTGGTAGTATATGATATAAAGAACCCCATGAGATTAATTTGGGGCCTATGTAAATACAGCAAGAATGTTGAGAGGTTTCGAAAGCAAACATAGGCTGGGCGCGATGGCTCATGCCTGTAATCCCAACACTTTAGGAGGCCGAGGCAGGTGGATCACGAGGCCAGAAGATCGAGACCATCCTGGCTAACACAGTGAAACCCCGTCTCTACTAAAAATACAAAAAATTAGCCAGGTGTGGTGGCAGGTGCCTGTAGTCCCAGCTACTCAGGAGGCTGAGGCATGAGAATCGCTTGAACCTGGGAGGTAAGAGGTTGCAGTGAGCCGAGATCGTGCCACTGCGCTCCAGCCTAGGCAACAGAGTGAGACTCCATCTCAAAAAAAAAAAAAAAAATAGTAAATGTAAACCTCTTTAAACAACAGTGTGTGTATAGAGATTGTGTGTGTCAAAGAGGGGTGTTGTAACATCTGTTCAACTTAGACACTTTCTAGTTATAAACATCTTAGAAAGTTATGACAATATAAATCTTAAAATCTGTATTCTTATTAAAAGGATTCCCTATTTAATAAATGTTGCTGGGAAAACTGGCTAGCCATATGTAGAAAGCTGAAACTGGATCCCTTCCTTACACCTTATACAAAAATTAATTCAAGATGGATTAAAGACTTACATGTTAGACCTAAAACCATAAAAACCCTAGAAGAAAATCACCTAGGCAATACCATTCAGGACATAGGCCTGGGCAAGGACTTCATGTCTAAAACACCAAAAGCAATGGCAACAAAAGCCAAAATTGACAAATGGGATCTAATTAACTAAAGAGCTTCTGCACAGCAAAAGAAACTACCATCAGAGTGAACAGGCAACCTACAGAATGGGAGAAAATTTTTGCAATCTACTCATCTGACAGTGGGCTAATATCCAGAATCTACAGTGAACTCCAACAAATTTACAAGAAAAAAACAAACAACCCCATGAAAAAGTGGGTGAAGGATATGAACAGACACTTCTCAAAAGGAGACATTTATGCAGCCAAAAAACACGTGAAAAAATGCTCATCATCACTGGCCATCAGAGAAATGCAAATCAAAACCACAATGAGATACCATCTCACACCAGTAAGAATGGCGATCATTAAAAAGTCAGGAAACAACAGGTGCTGGAGAGGATGTGGAGAAATAGGAATACTTTTACACTGTTGGTGGGACTGTAAACTAGTTCAAGCATTGTGGAAGTCAGTGTGGCAATTCCTCAGGGATCTAGAACTAGAAATACCATTTGACCCAGCCATCCCATTACTGGATATATACCCAAAGGATTATAAATCATGCTGCTATAAAGACACATGCACATGTATGTTTATTGCAGCACTATTCACAATAGCGAAGACTTGGAACCAACCCAAATCTCCGACAACGATAGACTGGATTAAGAAAATGTGGCACATATACACCATGGAATGCTATGCAGCCATAAAAAAGGATGAGTTCATGTCCTTTGTAGGGACATGGATGAAACTGGAAACCATCATTCTCAGCAAACTATCGCAAGGACAAAAAATCAAATACCGCATGTTCTCACTCATAGGTGGGAATTGAACAATGAGAACACATGGACACAGGAAGGGAAACATCACACACTGGAGACTGTTGTGGGGTGGGGGAATGGGGGAGGGATAGCATTAGGAGATATACCTAATGCTAAATGACGAGTTAATGGGTGCAGCACACCAACATGGCACATGTATACATATGTAACAAACCTGCACGTTGTGCACATGTACCCGAAAATGTAAAGTATAATAATAATAAAATTAAATAAATAAATAAAATAAAATGAACTAAAAGTTTAACAAAGAAAAACTCAAAAGTAAAAAATAAATTAGAAGTACATAAAATAGAAAACAGAATACACATTAGAATTTATTAATAAAACAAAAAGATGCTCTCCCTAAAAGACCACTAAACAAGATAAACCTTTGGAAAGTCTGACCAAGTAGTCTGTGGAAAAAAGGGATACATAAGTATAGTTTCAGATATTTCAAAAAGTGTAAGATTAATATAGACAGCTTTATATAAATGTATTTCTACGCTAATATGAATACAGTTAAAATGAATTATTTTCTAGGAAAACTGAAATCACCAATTCAATATATCTATACAAATTCCAAATAGGCCAACAATTATAGCCAACAATAAATAGAAGACAGGGGTATATCCTTATCAACAACACCAAGCCCAATGGCTTAGCTCTAACAAAATGTCAATGAACAAATAATTTTCTGTTAAGTAAATTTTCTAGAACAGAGAATAAATGAGAGAGAGAAATAGAAAGGGAGAGAGACCTAGATAGGAGAGGTTATTCTGCAAATTTTCTGAAACTATCATAATGCTAATTTAAAAGTTGGGCGAGAAAAATACTCAAGGAAAGTTAATTTTATGTGAAGATGGATGTAAAAATCCTTAGCACAACATTATCTAGTAAAATAGTGTTATTAAAATGATACTCTTGTTTATTAAAAAGAATCATACATTATGACCATTATCATAGCATAATCTCAGTTTAATATCAGAAAATGTATTAATATAATTACTCACATAAACATCTTAAAGAACAACTATGATCACCTTAATAAATCTTACAAAGAAGTTGATAAAACTCAATACTTATTCTTTATTTTTTAAAAAACTCCTAGCTAACTAGGAATAAAAATAAAATTTCCTTGACTTTAAAGCTATTCACCAGAAATTATCAGCATGTGTCACTTTAATTAAGATACATTATAAGCATTACCATTAAATTCAGGAACAAGATAGGGCTGCCCCCTTCAAAACTGCTATTCAGGATTGTACTAAGGGCTTACCTCATTCGGCAAGACAAGTTAAAGAAATAAGAGGTACGATATTTAAAATAACGTGACTTTCATCATTACAGATAATACATTTATCTACTTGGAAAATTCAAGAAAATCATCCAAGAAATTTCCAATTAATAGGAAATTAAGGTTAACATAAAAACAATGAATATGAGCTACACTCAAAATGTGATTTTAAAAATCTTACATTCACAATACCCTGGTTTGTCTTTGTTTAGTTATTCACTCATCTATCTTTCTTCAATAATTTACAAGTAATAATAAAATATGTATTTTTCAGATTTTGTAAGTGTTTTGGGTGGTAACAGGAAATTGCATGTGCATATGAACTAATTAGGCAATAATGGCCAATATGAATGTGTTTTTTACGCTCTCCTGAACAAAACCAAAAAAAAAATGTAGGATTACTGTTATTTTTGGGAAAATAAGAATGATATTGATAATGGTGCTTTAGAAATCTCAGATGATCTGTTTTTATTTATCTGTTCTCAAACTTGAAAAAATAAGAAAAAATTCATTGCTATACCATCTCATTTGAATACAATATAATTTATCTTTATTCCAAATATTGCAATTTTCAGTTGCCTCTTAAAAAATATTGCATGACAGACATCACTAATCTGTATTTATTCTTATGTTTATATTAAACAATGGACATATATTAATTTTAACATAGGATATTCTCATAATTTCTAGGAACATCTTATTATGTGTAATTCACAAACATAACTCTACAGTTTTAAATATAAAACAAAGCCTTGCCCTAGAAAATAAGCACTGATTAAAGTCACAACGTGCTCTTTTGTGGTGGTGTTTTTAATAAAATATTATCAGTGGTAAAATGTAAATAAAAAAGTAAATTGCTTCATTCATCATGTATTTTAAGCAGTTAAAATGAATGAACTCTCCTTTGAGAAAACATCTGACTAAGCAAAATAATGGTTATGAGTTTGGGAAAATGTTTAATGAACTTACTGGTTAAAATGCAGTTGTTATTTTAGAGCCCATTATTGTGTGTTTTAAATTAATTGAAGCTTCTTTGCTGAAAGACTGTCTTTTTTCTTTTTTCACTTCATATACTAAAATAAGTGATCTTAGTAACTTATGTGGATGCCAAGAAGTTACCAGGTTGGGAATGCTGGTTGACATAACAATGTGTACCTAGAAGAGTGTGTATCCACGCATCTTCATATGCATTTACCTGATATCAGTTCAAAGGCAAAGTGGTCGATGATCGGGTACAATTGTGCTTTAAGGAGCTCATATTGTAAACACTCTGGCTGGTATTCTCTTTCTTTGTGTTCTGTAACACACCTATTTATTACAGATTGGAGGTTGAAGTAATATTTCAGTCTATATATTGAAATATTTCAAACAATATATGTAACCATTTGCTTAAGACAATAGGAGAAAGTACTTACTTTAAAGATGCAGCTTTATTCATAATTGCCAAAACTTGGAAGCAATCAAGGAGTCCCTCAGTAAGAGAATAGATACATAAACTGTGGCACGTCCAGACAATGGAACCTTATTCAACACTAAAAAGAAATGAGCTATCAAGCCATGAAAAGACATGGAGTAAACTTAAATGCATATTATTAAATTTAAAAAGTGAATCTAAAAAGGTGATGTACTGTATGATTCCAAATACATGATATTCTGGAAAAGACAAAACTATGAAGGCAGTAAAAAAATCAGTATTTGCCAGAGGTTGGTGGAGAGTGATGGATGAACAGGAGGAGCACAGAGGCTTTTTAAGACAGTGAAACTACTCTGTATAATACTCTCACGGTAGATATATGTTATTATACATTTGTCCAAACCCATAGAACGTATAACACCAAGAGTGAAACCTAATGTAAACTATGGACTATGGGTGATAATGAAGTGTCAGTGTGGCTTCATCATCATTTGTAACAAATGTGTCACTCTGGTGGGAGATACTGTTAATAAGGGAGGTTATGCAAGTGTGGGGAAGGGAGTGTATGGAAAATCTCTATTTTCCACTTAATTTTGTTGTGAACATATGATCTATTACTAAATAAGTTAATGATGACAAGTCAATCTGTGTACCATGGAGAATACTATGTTCCTGCACATGGTAGACATTTAGTAAATATAATGTAATATTTGATCAAGCTAAAGAATAAGTAAAATGAGAACTTAGACCAAGGAAAGATGAAATCATTTTGGCAGGGGTAATCTTAAAAAGAAATGACAACAACAACAGATCATAGCCAGAGACATTTTGAATGAGTACCTTCATATTAGAATGGGTTTGGGAGTCAGGACATGTGTTATCTGAACATGAATTATTCTACCTTTTCATTTATAAGGTCTATATGTATAATATTTACTTTATAGCTTTATGGTTAGGAATAAACAAGGTGGTACATGGATATCATTCAAATGAGTATAACTGGAAGTAGTACTTAGACGAAAATTAACTCACTGTATCGAGATTTCTGAAGCATGAACTTGACATTCCATTGTATTCCATATCCTATGGGACCAGTGCATTACCTGATGCAAAGTTAGAAACTAGTTAGCATGTGCTGAATGAATAACAAGGAAAGTATGCTGACAAGAAAGTACATACTGGATAAGAGTGATTTTCTAAGCCACATTGTGAAGAATTGTGGACAGAATCTTTTTTTTTTTTTTTTTTTTTTTTTTTAGTTTTACATGACAGCCAGGCACGGTTGCTCACACCTGCAGTCCCAACACTCTGGGAGGCCAAGGCCGGTGGATCGTCTGAGGCCAGGGTTTTGAGAGAGACGATATAGTCAGAATCTTAAAGGTCCAAAAATAAATAAATGGAAACTGATATTGGTACCTACTGTGTGTCTTTATAGTTTAAAATATGTGGTACAAAAAATTGTATATATTCTTCAAAAGTGTATTTGGTATTTTGATTGACGAAATTGGGCCTTTAATATATGATAGCCATTATTACATATCCTATAATGTTCAAGAATTAATTAATTTATTAAGTCAATGACATTTCTTGAGTGCCTATAATGAGCTAAGTATCAGGGCAAAGCATAAAGCAAGACAATGCCCTGTTTTCATGAAGCTCATATTCTAAAACAAAAAAGTGATAATTATATTGATAATTCTGATTTCATATTTCCTTGATTTATCAGATATCTGATAGAGACATCAAAATTATATGATAGTATATTCAATATCCTTTTAAAAAGCATACTTTAAGAATACTTTCACGATGGCTCACGCCTCTAATTCCTTTGGGATTTACAACTTTGGGAGGCGGAAGCAGGCAGATCATGAGGTTAGGAGTTCGAGACTAGTTTGGCCAAATAGTGAAACCCAGTCTCTACTAAAAATACAAAAATTAGCCTGGCATGGTGTGCGCGCCTGTAGTCCCAGCTACTTGGGAGACTGAGGCAAGAGAATTGCTTGAACCCGGGAGACGGAAGGTTGTGGTGAGCCGAGATTGCATCACTGCACTCCAGCCTAGGCAAAAGAGTGATACTCCACCTCAAAAAAAAAAAAAAAAAAAAATTTACATACAGTAAAATTAACTCTTTTTAGCATACAGTTCTATAAATTTAGACAAATGCATAGAATTACATAACCACTACTGTAATCAAGATATAGAACAGTTTAATGAACCCCAAAAGTACCTTGTGAAAACAAATTATTGATAAAGATTTGAAAATTTTTAAAGAAAATAGAAATTTAACCGAGTCAACCAATTAACTCAGAAATTATAAAAGTATAATTAAGCTCCATTAAGTGTAGTCTTAAGGCATATTTAACCTCAAGAAACAGAAACCAGTGCAAAGTAATTTAAGTTAAAACAAGGAAAAAACACAGGATACAGTCTTTGTTAGTGAAGACAGCAGCATCTTTCATAGATGAAATGAAATGTCAGTACTCACTGGAACTTTAGATTTGTTTAGTCCACTACTCACTTGATCTTCTTTTTGTGGTCAGCATAATTGTTTATCTTTGTAGTTCTCTGAGAAACTGTCCACTTGGTAGTGATGGCTGTTCCAAAAAGGCATCCCCAAGCCATGAGTCCCTGTTATCTTACAAAATCTGTACTCACATGGAATAAATGTATGCCTGAATTCAGGTCCCAAATTCCAATAAAAAGAATAAATGTGGCCAGGGAAGGAAATCAGGTTGCATACAGAATTACACATCTTAGCATCCATAGGTGGGATTGGCAGCCTCCTGCTTCACTGCAATGACGCCTCAGCAAGAGTAGTAGTAACTGTAGTCGTAGTAGAAATTATAATAGTAACAACAATGGTAAATCAAAAATACCAAGGTGGAGAGCATATTTTATTTTAAAGAGATTGTCTAGAGTATAGCTATTATTAAAGTGCAATAAGATAATATCTCAAACAAAGGAGGAACTATCAGATCTAGGAAAAGTGAGAGTCTCTATTAAGGTAATACTAAAATAACTAAGTGAGAAAAAAAGTTCCAGTAATAGTGATCAGCACTAAAATAACTCAGCCAATGTTTAGAATCTTGGTTATCAAACAAGGGATGTTCTCAAAACATATTCCCTGAAGATGATTTGGAGATAAATATTTGAATAATATTAATACATATACTTGTATTACAGTCAATTGGTTAATAGTTTAACCTGAACACGTTAATAAACACCATTTTAATTTAAGACACTGACAATACAAATAAAACATTAATGCATAAAAGTGAGTTCTATACCATAAAACTTATGTTCATTACACTAAATTTTAGAGATTGCCTGCAATAGTTGATGAAATCATTTGTTTATATTTCTATAATGACATATGTCAGTGATATTGGACTAGAATATTTAGATCATCTACAATTAAAATTGCATATCTCATTTATCCTAAAGATCTTAATTTAAAAATCAATGGTATACATGTAGTTACCAGTCACTCTGTCAAGTGTCCGGGAAAAAATAATACTGAAAATTTATAAACAAGATGGAAAGAGAGGGATATATCTATATATTGCTTTTCATTTTCTTTTAAATGAGATCCAAGATGATAGAGATGCAAAGCACACCTTTTCCACAAGCAAAAAAGAAAAAAAAATAGTGATTCAGCTTGAAAACCAGAAAAAAATCTCAGAGTGGAAAACAATTAAGAACTCGAATGTTTGTAGAGTACTTTTTCAGGGTCAAAATTATATCCAAAAATTATAAGTATTAGTTTTTTGCAAGTGATTCCTGACTCAGCAAAATAGAAATAAATAACTCATTTCTAAGGAGTCCTATTTTATATTTATATTTACATTCATTATGGAGAGCAAATATATTTTAAGCCATCTGCCACATTCTCTTCTTTTGGCCTCAGTGGTTCTTGGTACCACAAAATAAAATCTATTCACACACATACATGTGTGCTCATCCATGTGCTCACTCACACATAAACACAAAGCAATAAATTATAAATTTTATTATTTTCTAAACATAAGACTGATAAAATTTGAAATTAATTGTGGACTAATAGATCTACAACTAAAATTGCTACTTATATTGATAGGATCACACAAAGTAATAAAGATTAGTATAATAAAAATCTTGTGCTGATGTGAAGAGTTTAAATACAGTATCTATAACTTCAGTGTAGATTAGATACATATCTGTGTAAATAATATATTCTACAATTCGGAATATGATTACTTGCAAAATATTTATATTTCTTATATCATCTAAGGATCTTCCTTTCATGAAAGGAATGGATATATATTCCATTCTAAACCCATATTGAGGATTCTGAGTGTGTGGGTCTTTTCAGCTATAGTCAATGAAATGAACAAAGTCTTTAGAACTTCTGAAAATAGATTTTGAGCTACATCTCTAGAAAATTTTAATAAAAAATGCATGTAGCAGGCAGAGCCTTAACGTATTTAAATTCTTCATTATTCAATGGCTAATTACTCATTTTGTGATGACCCAGGTCTGTGGCTTCTCTTCTTTTTTCCCTCTGGCTGTCTGCCTTTGGCCATTTCACAGTTCATTAGCACCTTTAACATCTGATGGGCAGGAGAAGAATATAGGTATGGCTCAAATCAGTCAATTTTACAGTTTTGCATTACTGGGACTACAGATTCGGTGAGATTTGCAATTGAAACTAACACATAAAATGGAATTACAGAGGTATTTCTGAACTTCAAATAATTATTTTCACTCAAAAGTTGATTACACTGAGATAATATAACTAAGCATTTTTTAAGAATTGGTTTTTTGGTAGAAATTTCCTCTGTTCTCTCTTATATAATTACTAAGGGTTCAGTAGTTCACTGTATAATGTAGAGAAATTACAGACATAGAAGGAGGCTGGATTAAAACTATGGAAAGAACACATTGCATTAAATTTAATATTGACTACACATCACCAATAATCCCTTATCTTCTTAATGGCTTTCTCTCAAAGTAAATGAATAATCTAATAAACAAATGTAATACTTCTATAAAAATACTGTGCGGTATAACTGTATATGTTGTTATCATATTTTGTCTAAGATTCATATTTTTTCATGTATCTATTGTGATTTAAAATGAATAGATACACAGTTTTGGTATAGTTTCTTTAGAAAAATCTATCGAGAAATATTTATGTATTAAAATTAAGAAAACAGATATATAAAAAGAACAAGTGCCTTCACTCATTTAAGCTCCATTTCCAACAAATTTAATGTGAGATTTAAATGAGAAAATATATATTATGCATTGATTTAATGCCTGGAGCTTACGAAATGATCAACAAATAGCATTATATATTATTAAGCTTATATAAGTACATATGTATTTATATAACTGTTGTCTTTGTTTATGGTTTCAGGGTAAGAAATCCTGACCTCAGTGCTACTTTTACTGTTGGCATGTATGTCTCTCTAACAATCTCCCAAGGGGTGTATTCCATTTATACCATGTACAAGCCTCACCCATGCACTACAGAGTGGGTAAACATCCACATTAAAAAGGCAAAAGTTAATAACTGAGTTCTAGTTTTACTGTGTTTTAATATACTGTGTGACTCTGAGTAAGACATTTGACTTTTCAGACCTCCAAAACTTGACTTATATAATGGCCAAGGCTGAACATATATCATCATTTGCTGTATCCACTGCTCAAACATTTTGCTACCAACTTATCTCTGATCTTACTGGACCAGTTTTTTCCCATCAGAGTGTCTTACATTCCATAATGGTGTAATTCAAATTAGATGTTTTCTTACTTTCCATTGCAGTAACCTTCTTTAATCTGTCTAAGTTTGGGGAGTTTTGGTGCCTTATCCCCTTACTATGGTATTAATTTATAAAATTTTGTAAAATGGGACCACTCTTACTTTAAGACATGGTAAGATAGTTACCCCTCTGTTACTTACTTATCCTATTTTATCTCCCTTGAAAGTGTCTTGCCCTAGTCCAGTTTGTGTATCTCACTTTCTTGTCTTTATAAATAGACATTATCTCATATCCTTACCTTTCCGCATTTTTGGTATACAAGCAAATTATATTTATGGGAAAGCAAAAATGATATCCTATTTTGCACTTCTGGAGTACTCTCTTTTTTTTTTTTTTTTTTTTTTTGTATTCAGGAACTCCTTACAGAGTCAAGGACATAGTGGGGTCTCAGGAAACAGTAGTTGAATTGGTTGGGTGAGAAAGACTACATGATCTGAGTTGAACCATATGAGAAAGCACTGAACACCAAAGTACCTTGATGGATCATTGGATGATTGGAAAGAAAAGAACAAGTGAAAGAGGGGGAGATTATGAAAGAGAGTAAGTGAGCATTATCAGGGGGAAAGAGCAAAATGATCCACATTAAGAAATGAGAGGCTCTCTGAAAGAAGGGAAGTCTCTCCCAGAGTGTGATGTAGCATCAGATAATCCACGTACCTTCTTTTTGTTTCTGTTTTTAAAATAAAGCACCTTTCTCTAGTCTATTATTTTATTTTAAACTTATTTGATTAATCCATGCTATGTGCAATAAATGATAATAAGAAATGTTTGAATGAAAAGTTTTTAGAAAAACAAGAAAGGCCAGTTGGATTAATTTTTTTGTATGTGACTTTATTGTCATCCCTTTTCAAGAGGGGAATATTAAATTAAATAAGATTTTTGTAAAAAATGAACTTTATATAAAAGGAAGCAAATTGCTGAGCACAGGTAAATGTCACCACAGAACAGAGATATTCACGTAAGAAATTTTTCCTAATTATAAAAAGAGAGTACATGCACACATATACATACATATATGTGTGTGTATATATATGCTCTAAAGTATAAACTCATACTTTAAAACATACCCGTACACACACACACACACACACACACACACACAGAGAGAGAGAGAGAGAGAGAGGGAGAGGGAGAGAGAGAGAGAGAAGTCTGAAACTCCAATCTCAGGTACATATTATTATTACAGAAAAATAAACAAATCAGTAAAATTACTAGGCTAAATTTTCTATTTCAATGAAATAGCAGATTTGAAGCATTTTCACAGTAACCGTGTATGTTGACAATAAGTAGCAGAAGAAAATGAGAAGTGTTTTCTTACTGAACACATTGTACCTTTGGTTTCTGTATTTTAAACAAACTAATTTTCTTCTTATGTTAGATGTTAATTATGACCTTTGACTTTAGATAGTAATGTATAATGACTACTAGGCTTCATAATATCTCTGCTTCTAATTTATCTAAATATTTTGAGCCTATATTTTTATATTTTCAAAACTTGAAATTAGCACATCTGATTTCTGAGTAATATATGATGCTAAATCCTTTGTTACTAAAATCTTATTATATAAATAGGAACAAAAACCCAAACAGAAACAAACAAAGAGAAGCATCACTCTACAAACAACTATACTTGACAGGTGTTTGCTTGTGTTTTGTTGTTATTGATAAGCTTTTAAGAGCAATTTTTGGGTAAAACTGTATACTCTTCTACCTTCAGTCCCATTTCCAACATTACAAAAACTTGTTTGTATTATTTCAATTAAAATAATATTTTGGAATTACCATATGGCCCAGCAATCCAATCCTATGTGTATGCCCAAGAGAATCAAAAACATATGTTCACACCAAAATGTACGTGAATGTTCATATCAACATTATTCATAAGAGCCAAAAATTAGAAACAACAGAAAATGCTATCAACTGATGAAAGGATAAATATAATTTATTATATTCATGCAATGGAATTTTATGTAACATAAAAAGGAACAAAGTACTGATATACTATATGCTGCAACATGGATGAACCTTGAAAATATCATGCTTAAGGAAAGAAGCCAAATGCAAAAGGTCACATATTATGTAATTTTATTTACATGAAACATCCAGAATAGGCAAATACATAGAGGAAGAAAATAAATCTGTTGCCAGAGAATGGAGGAAGGGAATGGAGAGTGGCTGATAATGAGTGAGGGGTTTCTTTTTAGGGTGACAAAAAAAAATTCCTTCAGCTAGAGGTGATGGTGGTACAACATTGTGAATATACTGAAACCATAAATTGTACATTTTTAAGTGGTGAATTTTATGATAAGTGACTTATATATTAACTAAAAAATCTAAAAACGGTAATACTGGGGTTTGGTTTTATTTTTTAATTTGACTGTATTTTGGAGTAAAGTTTGCAATATTTTCCAACTTTGGAGGTTTCTCAAACTTAGGAGATAAATTTTTATCACTTATAACATTATCAATTCTTTGCAACTACTTCTTGAGTAGTCTTTATTATGGCTTTCAAGCAAGTGCTCATGGTTTTTCCCCTAAGTTGACTTTTTTTTTTTTTTTTTTTGAGACGGAGTTTCTCTCTTGTTGCCCAGGCTGGAGTGCAGTGGAGCAATCTCGGCTTATTACAACCTCTGCCTCCCAGGTTCAAGCGATTCTCCTGCCTCAGCATCCCAAGTAGCTGGGACTACAGGGGCGAGCCACCATGCCCAGCTAATTTTTGTATTTTTAGTAGAGACAGGGTTTCACCATGGTGGCCAGGATGGTCTCGATCTCCTGACCTCATGATCCCCCACCTCGGCCTCCCAAAGTGCTGGGATTACAGGCATAAGCCACTGCACCTGTCCCCCTAAGCTGACTTTCCAACAGTAGCAAAAGATGTTGATCATGAGCATCTCATATGCCTAGTCCAGAAAATGTGAAAATATTAAACATTATCTGAATTTACAAGTGAGAAATGTAAATTACTGGAATGTTGTGCCAAGAAAAGAAAATACAATAAAAGATTTTTACAAGTACAGATTTGGGAACACAGAAATTAGGTGAAGTTACAATAAAAATGTTCCTTCCTAAGTTTATTATCTTACTATTGATCATATTTCTATTTTGTAGAAAAGTAAGCATATTTAATTGCAGAAGTCTAACATGACAGTTTCCAAAATTATACAAATTTATCCTTAGAGCCCATTACAAATGCGGTACCAATAAAATGTAATAAAATAAGTCCACATCACAAATCTGATAAATTACTTTCTGTATAATTTTTCATAATATTTCACCTACTAATATCTATTCACTGGCATCCTGGATTTCAAAGGACATTAGTATACTGTAAAGTGACAAAACATTCAAAAGAGGGAAATTCTAAAAGACCTACATTTTTAACTTAAAGCTAGTAATTAAATAGTAGGATAATATAAAATAATATAACCCAAGGCAGAGTGTAAGTATCAGTTTGAAATTCCATTTTCTTAAAAATTATTCATCGATAGCATTAGGAGATATACCTAATGTAAATGACGAGTTAATGGGTGCAGCACACCAACATGGCACGTGTATACATATGTAACAAACCTGCATGTTGTGCACATGTACCCTAGAACTTAAAGTATAATAATATATATGTATTAAAAAAATTATTCATCTTTTCATAGGAATATCTAAATGCCTAAAGAATTTCCACAAGTTTCTGTTTTCCAGGCAAAAAGTATCTTTCCCATTCCTGTGCAAATCTTGCCTACCAACCAGGTTTGTCTTTTAGCAGGAGTCTAAAAACTCAAACGTATCTAAAAGCCATGACACAGAAGGCCTGGAGACTGCATGGAATGATGAGGACTGCAGTGAACTCTGAAGTGCCTACCCATGTGAAACGAACAAGTGCTATTCGGAAGAAGCAGGTTGTGTTAATGTAGGTGTCCAAGCCTAGAATCATGAAATTATATTTTTAAGAGAAAAATGACAATGTGCATTTTCATGTTTCATCATTAAAACACTTTATTAAAACACTAAACATGGCCACAAAGCTTTACGGATAAAACAGACACTATCTGGATATTTTGCATGAATCAAAAAAAAAAAAAAAAAAAAAAGAAAAGAGAAAGGAGTAAGTAGTTGGGACCATATGAATCATTATTTAAAAAGGAGAAAGTGAAATGATTAAGTAAAAGGGGAAAAGTGGCAAAAATTTATGGTGTAAAACTGAGAAAATATCTGCAATATATGTGCCTACTGTTTTTAAATAAAACAAGTTTTTGTATTAGATAATTTTTAACAATTATAATATTTGTTATAGTATTTCAAAGGATATTTTAAATGGTTTGCTATTAAACTTGATTATTTAAACACTAAGGAAAAAACCTTAATATTCTTTTGTACGTTACAAGTCTGAAGGTGATTTTAATACCCCACATCTTTACGTTTGAGCCGGCAGCCAGCAGTTGAAATTGACATGTGAGAGTTCTTCTAAGTCCCAGATGCTAGCTGCCAACTGCCTTTTTGTTCTTGTTTCCTTGGAAACGGAGATTGGTTTCATGAAAACAAGGTAAGTACAACTTTTACAGCAGAGAAGTGGAACGCTCCTTTGTCAGTTTCAGCTTGCTGGCTGAGACCTGTAAGTACAGCCTTCCAGAACAGACTGAAGTTGGAAGCCAGTTGAGGCACATCAGAGTTTATGGCAAAACAGCAGTACATATGTTCTTCCTATTTAAATTTAATGTGGGAAAATGATCCAATAAAAGATTAAAGTGATCAAAATTAACACAACAAAACTTTATCAAGTCAAAAACACTTGGAGCCTAAAGTGAAAAACATGATATAGCACATTTAATAATGAGATGCTTTTAAGTCTTCAATAATCTCAAATATACTCTTACTGAGCAATTATCTGGGTCAGTTGTTCTCAGATATGACATACTTCTCAGTGGCAAGAATGGCTCACCCTGCATGACTCTGGGGAGACATAAGGAAAAAATAGAAGTGAAATGAGACATTCTCCCCCAGCAATGTTTTGCAAAAGTTCTTCAGGTGATTCTGATTGGTCTCAATTCCTCTTCTTTTAAAAAAAATCACTGACCTGATCTAATCAGCTAATTTTAGGGAAAAGGACACCAAGGCACGGAAAGAAAGATAAAGTTAGTCATAGAAAACTTGAAGTCCAGCTAATGGTGAGTCAGGCAGAGAATCTAGCTCTGTTTCTGCTTCAAACATTTTCCTTTTTATACAATGGTACAGACGGTTTCCCTTGTAATTATTTCAAAATTCACTTGGTCATGTAATTTTTCTTTAGTATCATCAACTGAATGTAAAGAAGTGTAACCATGGTACCTATAATACCATATATACCATATGTATCATAAGGTAATGATACATATAATTATGTATCATAAGGTAATGATACATATAATTATGTATCATAAGATACAAGGATTTCAACAGTTATTCTGAATTTCAACAGCCACCTTTTTTTTTAACACCATAGTTAATTTGTCCTGCTATATACATAATGAGCTGGAAAATATAGCAAAATTAGGAGAGGGCATACCTTATTTTTTTAAGTTTTAACTTAATCAGTGGTGGTAATTTTACTTAACTTCAGTTTCATCAACAGAAGTTATTTAGGAAAAAAATTCACCTTCTAAGAGTTGAACCATATTGTGTGAAGATTCTTTGTATCCCTGAAGTGAATTACTGGCCAAAACAAAGGCTGTAAAAGCCCATGGCTACATCTGTTACCTGTTTAGGTGTCTTTAAAACATATTTACATTTAAAAAATTGAAATTCCCTTTCCTCTCTCGGTCGTCACTTGGTAAATTGTCAGTATGGTCTGATCTTTTAAGAAAAACTGTCTCTTTAAAATCGTGGTAAAACACAGAACTTAAAAAGCTAATTTCTATTTCAGTGAATCAAAGAACAGCGATTAAACACAAGGTTCCTTCAATGATGTTCTATCACAGCCTTCATGTTTCCCATCACACTACATATGGTCCAATTGTTTACAGATTACAAAAAAAATCCCTGCTCAGATGTTAAAACAAGATGTTTTCTTCACTTTCAAATGGCAGGCTGACTGCCAATTTTTACAATTAGTTATTCTGTGCAAAGAAAAAAAAAAGAAGTTTAATTATCACAATTTCTCATGTTTGGACATTACTCTGTGATGGGCAATCAACCTGAGAACTGACAGAAATGAACTCTGGTTCATGACATTGGTGGAAGGCTCTTGGGAAGACAGCTTTTTGTAAGAGAGAAAATAGCAAAATAGAAAGGGGAAAGAATCTTCGCCAGAAATAGGTATCGAAACATCAAGGCAAACCAGCCACCTGCCAGTGATGCTGTTTCCCTGTGGCACCGTCTGGCAGGCAGAATTTCACAGTGTTAAACAATAGTGCTGTGTACACCATGAGTGCACCTATCAATGGGTCACTGACTCTCTAAAAAGACTTGCTGATGGAGGTAGAGTGATTACAGGAGAGCAACAAACTGATGGTAGAAAGCCTCCTGTTCAGATGCCGGATCCCTGGTATTGCATGCGCTCAAAATTGGGATCCTCATTTTTTAAAGGAATTATTTGTATCTGCATTAAATTATGATTGATAGAATTGTTAACAGAAAGTTGAAGAAAATAGATTAATGAACTATATACGTAGAATTCCATGCTACACACACACACACACACACACACACACACACACATCAGTATCCACATCCCCTCAAGCCTCAAACATACAAGCCCCCAAGCTGTGCATATAATAGTCGATTTAAAAACTGCTATTGGATAAATAGTACATCCAGAATAATAACCAGTGACCACAAGATAGAGGATCATTGCTGGTGGAGTTAAATCATTTTACTTCATTTTGATTGCCTTTTAATAAGAGTTATATATTAAGAATCAGAGTTTTAAGAATTATTTGGGACAGTGATAATAAATATTTATTTCAGGATGAGTCGGGCTAATGCAGTGCCCAGCAGAGCTTTTTTTTTTTTTCATTCTGTCTCTTTTTGTAGGTGGAAGTAGCTGGATGCCAGTTTTCTGAGATTTGCCCAAACATGGATGACTTGCATGTTACGAAAGGATTTTGCCGTGTCAAATGTTTTCATTTCGTTTATTAGTTAAGACATATAATTCAAAACTCTTTGGCCACCTCTAGGAGTATGTATTTCATTAAGATTATGTAAAAACTACTAATAGTTTCACAATTGAATACATAAGTATGTGCCTATTTGGGGAGGAAGGGGCATTCAAATGACAATTAACAGTAACAGAGTAACAGAAACTGAAATCTCCGGCCTACCTCTAGGTCCGTTCCCAAGAATAACATTGTTAGTCTCACCCCAATTCTATTTAGAATTTAGTGCTATTCATCTGTATCCTGATATAATCATTGTTAAAACAATTAATTTTGCTCTCATTACGAAAAAATAAAGAATTTACCTAAAACCTATCTCTTTTCCTCTTGTACATCGAAGGTTTGTTATAATTTTCCATTCTGCTAATGATTCTCATTTTAAAGCATTCAAATTGATGTTAATTGCATAAGGAATACAGTAATATTTCCTCCTGATAAAAATCTAAAATGTTACAAATAAGGCTGTTACCCCTTTGATTCTCATTTTGATCTACACAAATAATTGAATATTTGTAAGGCTGTGATACAATAATCACAAATAAGTGATACAATAATCACTTTGGCCTCCCAAAGTGCTGGGATTACAGGCATGAGCCACTGCGTCTGGCCAACATTTACTTTTAACGTGTTACTGAAACTACTATTCAGGTTGAGTATGTACATAATGGAAGCTGACTCAAAATTTAACTGCTCCTATAAGAAAAAAAACTATGCATTTTCATATTATTGTCCATCCATTCATTTATTCATTCATTAAATTGTGTATTTATTAATGCAGAGCCAGATATTATGAATACTCAGATGATTAAGAACCATATATTACTCTCAAGAATACACTGTGAAGTGAAAAGATCAATGGTCAGTCCCAGACATCGATTTCCAAGCAAATATTAAGTCATTAGATCAATAGTAGCCAATAATAGGACCAAGCCTCTTTCCCTTTGGATTCCTATCCAGCTGTTGCCTCTGTGAGCAATGCAGCTTCCTAATTTCTTTGGTATACAAGCTTTTCTACTGTTTTCTTTACATTTCTAAGGCCTCTGGCCACCACTTTTAACATCTAGTTTATTAATTGTCACTACTTAAGTTAATCTTTGTTCTAAGAAACATATTTTCTCAAAAAGATCTAGAAAGAGATAAGTTTCATTAATGGAGACTTTTCATATTAAAAAGTTGCTGGAAACCGTTTTCTCATGCTTTTAAAAAATAATTATTTTAAGAATAAGGTGGTATTCCAATAAAGGTCATAATTAACATAAACTTAATAAAATTTGACCTAGGGAGGGTTTACTTAATGTAAGCTTCATTAGAAATCTCTTTTATTCTAAAATATTAAACCTAATCAACCCAAACAAAATTACTCAGCATGCTGAATATGATACTGAATGTAGTTCTGTACAGTGTTTTCTTTAAATTTGAAAGGTCAATCCAGACTATCAACCCATGACCAGCAATTACCCATTACAGAATCGTCAATAATTTTAACTTTGAAAATAGTAGACAGAAAATGGGAGTTCATAATTATTTGCTGAATGAGTGAATGGGAGCTGGAACAGGACTCAGGCAACCTAGTGTAATTACAACTAGTTTGTATTCCCTGGCCCTAGTTACCTCATCTGCAGAGTGAGATGCGTGGATACTGTTCGATTGTAACATATTTTATATGTATTAGGTTGGTGCAAAAGTAATTGTAATTTTTGGCCTTACTTTCATTGGCAAAAACTACAATTACTTTTGCACCAATCTAAATACTTTCTATATACTGGTGAAGACAGAAATTCAATGATTCAAAAATACAATAGGAATGTTTTTCCCTTCCAAGTACTTTCAGTTTAGAAAAATGGCCAAAATTTCTGTCTGTGATAGTTCTAATATTGAAAAAGTAAAGGTAATATAAACCATAATAAACAGCATAAGTATATTTTATGTGATTATTTTGATCATTTATTCCCCAATACTATATGACTATTTCCTGTGTGACATGCACCCCACCAAGTGCTTAGTATGTAATATAAAAATATAGACATACCTCATTTTATTGCACTTTATTTTATTGTACTTTGTATTATGTTTTTTACAAATTGAAGGTTTATAGAAATTCTGCATCCAGCAAGTCTATCAGTGCTCTTTTTCTAATAGCATGTCCTCACTTTCTGTCTCTGTGTCACATTTTGGTAATTCCCACAGTACTTCAAACTTTTTTATTATTAATATATCTGTTACTGTTATCTGTCATCAGTGATCTTGCATGTTATTTTTGTAATTGTATTGTAATTGTACTGGGGCACCTGAACTGTGCCCACAGGACAAATAAGATGGCAAACTTAATCAATAAATGTTCTGTGTATTCTGACTGCTCCACCAACGGGTCATTCCCATTTCTCTCCATCTCCTTAGATCTCCCTATTACCTGAGACACAATATTATGGAAATTGGGTTAATTAATAACCCTACAGTAACCTCTAAACATTCAAATGGAAGGAAGAATCTCATCTCTCTCACTTTAAAGCAAAAGCTATGAATGATTAAGCTTAGTGAGGAGGGCATATCAAAAGCCAAGATAGGCCGAAAGCTAGGTCCCTTGTGCCAAACAGCCAATTCGTGAATGCAAAGGAAAAGTTATTGAAGAAAACTAAAAGTGCTCCTCCAGCAAACACACAATGATAAGAAAGTGAGAAACTCCTATTGTTGATGTGGAGAAAGGTTGAATGGTCTAGATAGAAGGTCAAACAAGCCAGATTTCCTTAATCCAAAGCCTAATCCAGAATAAGACTCTAACTCTCTTCAATTCTATGAATGCTGAAAGAAAGAGATGAGGAAGCTGATGAAGAAAAATTTGAAGCCAGCAGAGGTTGGTTCATGAGGCTTAAAGAAAGAAGCCATCTCCAAAACACGAAAGTGCAAAGTGAAGAAGCAAGTGCTGATACAGAAATTGCAGCAACCTATCCAGAAGATCCAGCTAAGACCTTTGATGAGTGTAGCTACATTAAACAATATATTTTCTATGTAGACAAAACAGCCTTCAATTAGAAGATAATGCCATCAAGAACTTTCACAGAAAAGAGAGGTCAATGACTGGCCTCAAAGCTTCAAAGGACAGGCTGACTCTCTAATAGGTGAAAGGGAGTTGCCTCGTCTCATGAGACTTTGGACTGTGGACTTTTGAGTTAATGCTGAAATGAGTTAAGACTTGGGGGACTGTTGAGAAGGGATGATTGTATTTTGCAATATGAGAAGGACATGAGATGTGGGAGGGGCCAGGGCTGAAATGATATGGTTTGGATTTGCGTCCCTGCCCAAATCTCATGTAGAATTGTAATCCCCAGTGTTGGAGAAGGGGCCTGGTGGGAGGTGATTGGATCATGGGGGAGGATTGCCCCCTTGCTGTTCTTGTGATATTGAGTGAGTTCTCAGGAGATCTGGCTGATTAAAAGTGTGTAGCACCTCCCCCTGTGCTGTCTTCCTCCCACTCCAGCCATGTAAGACGTGCTTGCTTTTCCCTCACCCTCAGCCATGATTCTAAGTTTCCTGAGGCCTCCCCAGCCATGCTTCATGTACAGCCTGTGGAACCATGCACCAATTAAACCTCTTGTCTTTATAAATTACGCAGCCTCAGGTAGTTCTTTATAGCAGTGCGAGAATGGACTAATACAATAATTCTATAACTACAGTTCTTTGTGAATTGGGATTTACTCTCTTCATTTTTTTTTAAACTAAAATAAATGCAGAAATAAATCAGGGACTTCTGCTACCAGCCATGATTGAAAAACAGTAATGAGATTTACCGTCCTACCTTAAATAACTAGAAATCTGAGCAAAATATATAAAACAGTGTTTTTCAGGCAATGGACAACAGACTGCTGACTGCAGAGATTCCTAAGAACATTGAAATTATTTCTAGTAGGAAATCTTTTGTTTCAAAGTTAAATCACTAAAATATCTAAAAACAGCTCATATTTCTTTTCCTAAACGTAAATGTCACATGTTAAGCAAACAAAACTTACAGTATAGTGTTTATTGGATAATATTTTCAAAATACCACACATTACTTTTTCTATTGCATACATTTTTGTGATCCTATTATGTGGACTATGCCAAGCCAATCTAGTTGGCATTTAATTGCTCCTGGCTTATGTAAGTACCAATAGAATGTTTACCTTTAAATTTTAACTGCACGGATGTGCATATGTTTCAATTAAGGAATAAAGAATGGAAGAAAAAGAGAGGACAGAGAAAAAGACGATCGCTGAAGAAGAAACAATATTTTTTGAAGGACAGAGGCAAAATTCTCAAGAGAGAGCATATTTAGAAGAACATTAAATATATCCATAAATGTAGCCAAGTAAACTTCATGGAGAGCTCTGAATTATCTTTGCAACACAATTAATTCATTAAAGATATTCAATAATTTTTCTATATACTTTTTTCTTAAAGCTATAATAATCATTAAAATGTTGAAAAACTATACAAAAGAAATTCAATTCAAACTAAAAGAATCTGAAACTAGTTGGTGTAGTAGAAAGAGATTATGGAGAGAAGTAGTATGGAAAATTAGCAGGAAAGAAAAAGATGAACCCTCATTCTGGTCCTAGAAAGCAAGGATGTGGGGTTTAAAGTTTATTCTCTGAGTCAGTCATCTCCAAAAAATGAGTTATTTTCTATTTGCAAATGATGAACCATTGAGGAAGCAATCATAAAAACAAATTTTTAACATTTATTTTCCTAAATATAACAATCATATGATAAACAAATAAAACTTAGTATTAACTATACACACCCAGTAGCTACACATATATAATTTAGAGAGAATTATACATCTGGATGTATGTTTAATATATACATATTTTTTTCTCAACTGGAATTGCATGATCAAAAATTCTTGACATCATAGTCCTAAGCAAAGAAGGAAGGGGCAACTGAAACTTCTTGAGCAAAGGAATAACAGGATCAAAGCAATGATTTAGGAACTCTTCCATTTTTTGTTTGTGGAGTTGTTCCCAGTTTCACTACTTTAGGGAATTAGAATGATTCAATCTTTAGACGTTTCATCCTCTTTCGCCACACCCAGGCTGTCACAGCCTTTCTTGCCTCTATTGGTGCAAAAGGAAGAGGCTGTACTGAGTGGTCATTTAGGGAAATTTTAAAGGGTAATAATTTGAAATGTTATTTTATAAGAACAAAATATGAAGAGCAGACATTTTCACCCTTTATGCAGCATTGATATTCAGGCTCTCAGAACTGCAAAGGATAATCAGGCATTTGCTTGTGGAATAAACTACCAAAATACATTGTGTGCTTTATTCTAGGTGGGGAGGAAGCTGGCAATGTTCTTTAGCTTCTGAGAATGCTATCTAACGGCATGGCATGGAAGGAATTTACTCAGCTTTCTGTTTTGGAGGGGATTTCAGCCTGCTTCGGTTGACTATAATGTGTAAACTACTCTCAGTATAACAGCAGTGTGTGTGTGTGTTTGTGTGTGTGTGTGTGTGTGTGTGTGTTTCTAAGTGAATTAAAGTTACTTTGCCAGAGTGAGGAGGGCCTGGTATTTAATTTTAACAATTAGCAAGCTTGAGAAAGTATTTAAATATCAAGAAATGACCATGCTAAACATGTAGTACATTTACATCTTAATGCTGCTAAAAGAGAATGAACACAAAAACCATAAATCAAAGATATCCTTCCTCTTTCAGATGCTGACTCCAGTTAAGACATAGGATTTTAAGAATGCATGATGGAATTAAAAGCTAAAAAATGTATATTTCCGTTTATAAGCATTTCTATTACTTGAAAAAATATGTAAGGCTGGGCATAGTGGCTCACGCCTATAATCCCAGCACTTTAGGAGGCCAAGGCAGAGAGACTGTTTGAGCTCAGGAGTTAAAGACTAGCCTGGGCAACATAGGAGACCCCATCTCTAACAAAAAATAATGATAATTACCTGGGTATGGTGGTGTATACCTGTGATCCTAGCCACTGAGGAGGCTGAGATGGGGGAATCGCTTGAACCCCAGAAGTCGAGACTGCACTGAGCCATGATCATGCCACTGGAATCCAACCTGGGCAACAGAGTGATACCCTGTCTTGAAAAAAAATTATTTTTTGAAGTTTCCTTTTAAAAATTAAGAATTTTAGAATTGTATATAAAACAAATGCTGTGAAAATAGTGATCACATATTTTTGCAGTATGGTTCTAAATCTATGGATCTGTGCTGGCCAATACAGTAACCACCAGACATATGTAGCTAATTACATTTCCAGATAAATTAATCAATTAAAAGAGCCTAAATTTAATAAAATTAAAAATTTAGTTCTTCAGTAATGCTTGCCACATTTCAAGTGTGGCCAGGTGCTACTGTTTGGACAGCTATATCATACCATAGTATTAGTATAGACTAATATTCATTTCTAAACTAAATCTGAAAATAATTTGGGAACTTGTGATAATAAAATACTTGATATTATTGTCTATGTTTACATTTTTGTATGGTTTACATAAACAATAACTATTTCAATAATCAAAAAGACTACTAAAGTTCTTTTTATTGTAGGAATGCTGAAATGAAACCATTTTATGGTTTTACATATGAGAGTGGTGCTGTAGATAGTAACAAATTATTATCATCCATTTGATTAATTCATAATGCATGCCACTTAAAATAATGGGATTGCTACAATGGTCTGTTATCATTCTTTCAATTAAACATGGAAATAATACATTTCACAAGCATCAAAATTAATATTCATTTGGCATTCTATCAAATTACCTCATAATCATTGTGAATTTCTCAATTAGAACTATAAACCCTTGTCTTACTCAGAATAATATTAACAGAATTTTTAAAACAAAAGTACAAAGCAGGTCATTTAAAACACATCTGTTATAAGTTTGATAAGTAATCATTATAATTAGTGCTTTTACTGAAGATTTTACTGGAGGAGTTCAGTTTGTTTTTGATTTAAAAGCCTATCGAACAGGTATGTTACTATTAGGCAAGTTTAAACATAGGGAATTTAATATATGACCAAAAGATAACAGGATTTGATTCAGAAGGATATAGTCAGTAGTTTAATCCTATTACATTTTAGGTATAATTTAACCCAACCACCCAATTTTATAGATGAAGTGATTAAGATGTATGATGTGTGTGTGTGTGTATGTGTGTGTGTGTGTGTGTGAGAGAGAGAGAGAGAGAATATGTTTGTATAAATTAATTGGCTAACCCAAAATACAGCCTAGTTTTCCAGAGTACCAAGGCAATAGCAAGGTTCTTTTATTTCTGTACCCTTTTCAAAGAGGCTGAGAAAGGTGATATTAGCTTAGAAAAAAAAAAAAAGAAAGAAAGAAAAGAAAAAGAAAGAAAGAAAAAAGGAAAAAAGAAATCCAGTGCATTGTCTTATCATTAGCCATTAGTATATGGAACTTGGTAATTCCCAAGGTTACACATAATTCATATCTGACATTCATGACTATAGGAATAAATGTCCAGTAAACTGCACATAAATCATTATAAAATAACTCCTTCACACATTAACAATTAGAGTGGTAGTCAAAATGAAAACGATAAATTCAAAGTCTTGACTTAGCATATAAGACCCTGAACAATCTGGCTCCAACCTAATTTCTATTGCTTATATAACTAAACAAATCTTTGCTCTAATCAGTAAATTTTCAGTTCAATAAACATTTATTATGGTTGCCTACTATGTGTCTAGAATTGTTCCCAACATTAAGGATGGCCCAAGAAAGAAGGCACTGTTACTGTCTTCAAGAAACTGAGCAGGATGGAGAAACAAATATTTCTCTTTTCCTGGAGGATGTTAACTTTATGATAAGAAAAAACAAATAATTGAAAAAGATAGTAAGAGCTGTGACAAACATCCCTCCTATGGAAAACATAAAATGGAGTTAACCCAGGCATTAAAGAGATAATACAAGATTTGAATTTTAATTAGTGAGATCTGAGATGGGTATTCTAGACAAAGGTCACCCATATTTCTCCTAAGGTTCAGACCCATTTACTGAATTGCCTCCTCCATGCTTCTTAGATGTTCCATAGTTTCATTAAATTTAATATACTATAATTTAACTGACTACCTCCCATTTTTCCGAAACCTGCATTTCTCCCTGCTAAACTCCTGAACAAGCCATACATCTGATTTTATCCTTCGCTCCTTTGCCCACATACTTTACTTCCCTTCAACTACAAGATACTTCTAATTCCACCCCGAAGGATCTTTCAAATCCATTCTGTAGGCCCCCGTCCTCGCTATCACTAATTTTGTTCAGGGCCCCATCATAGTTCACTTGGATGACTGCAACTACAGTAGGTCTCTATTCCCTTAATGTTATCATTACTCCATCCACTTTATGAAGATAGAGTAATATTTTGAAAGGAAAATATGAACATGTCACCTCTTGCATAGAACCCTTTGATAGTTCTTCATTGCCCTGAACAGTATGAGCACTGCTAATCTCTCTACCACATCTCAGACACCAGCTCTGCTATCTAGCAATAAGGAAAGTGTCTCAGTTCCTTCAACCCAATGTTCTCTTTGCTTCTGGGGTCTTCTATATCTATAGAAGGCAAGAGGTAGCCAGTGTATAGCATGTCAAGAGACGGAGCAAGAGGGAGAGAGAGGGGAGGTACCAGACTCTTTAGAACAAACAGATCTCACATGAACATAGAGTGAGAACTCATTCATTACTGTAAGAACACCACCAAGCCATTTATGAGAAATCTGTTCCCACAATGCAAACACCTCCCACTAGAGCCACTGCCAATATTGGAGGTCACTTTTTAACATTAGCTTTGGAGGGGACAAAACATCTAAATTATATAAACTAGATTCAAGGATATTATATTTTTAGCAATTTTGAATAAATAATTTTTGAAAGCATGTGATATGAAGCAAGTGCAATTCTCACAAACCTCTTATCTCCTTCACCATCTTATTAGAGAAAGTCTCCAAATCTCAGAAGACAATTTTTGAGTATTGCTGCAGAGCCTACATTTTACCCATTTCTTTGACTAGAAAGAAAATTAGAATATTCAGCAGAGTAAAAGTGGTAGAAAAAGTTGTGATTACCTCCCAATTGCCCTATATCCCCAACTGCTATTCACTAAACAGACTGAAATCTCTCTCTGCTGCAAACCTCAGGAAGTAAAGAGATATGTCAGGAAAACGCTCACATCCCATGTACCCACAGTAAATTTTGTGTATGGGAGAAACAGAGAGAACCATCTTGGAGAAGAAAATCAATTCTCCCTTAATTGGGTGTTCTAAGAGGTTAGAACACTGAATGAAGGCTGGGGCTTGGTTAGATCAGGAGATTAAAAACAATGATTTTAGTATAAGTATCAGTTGACCTAGAAGGAGGGAAGTAAGAATGTGAGGAGGAGAGTTATAATTGTCTTGTGCTGATGAGCATGTATGTATCTCTCATATGTAAAAGCATCTGATGCATAGATGATTCTTTACAAATACCCATTAATCATATTCACTCCCACAATACAACCTTTTGTTCACTATCTAAATGCATTTGTATGTGTTTGGCTATGTTAAGTACTTAAGTTATATTCTGCCAACAGAAGTATAATATAAGTGATATAAGGTTATAGATCTAGAATATTCCAGAAACTAAGAATCATTTCTCTCCCTGTGTATCTTAAAATGCTCTCTCTGTGTATGTAAAAAGAATCCTAAATGCATCTGTTTTGTTCTGCTACCCACTGGCACTAGCACTCAGGAGAATCATGTAACTTCCTTAGATCTTATATGTAAAATGAGGCACTTCATTATTTCACTTATAAAGTTCTATGTGCACACACCTAATAAATTTATCACGCTCATAGAACAAGATGTGCTCATGATAGAGATGTGAAATCAGCTTCATACATCGTGACATGTTTATAGTATCAACTTTTAAGTGTTGTATGTAGATTTATTTTTGCTTGTAGCAATAGTACAGTACCCGCACCTTTAAAATAAAGGGGGTCTTGCATTGTTATATTCTTAAAGCCAACTAGTTAAGATAAAATTAATGAACTTTTAACTGTATTTGGGTAATATTAAAATAAATATAAAATTATAAGGAGTTGTTCACATGTCTCTTTTCTGGTTAAGCATATCAATTTTCAGACAGGCCTACTGAAAAGCTTGAATTTTTTTTTCCTTGCCCAGTCTTTAAGATTATTGGTTCTGACTTGCATAATATCATACATTTAACTGCAGTATTTGTTGAATTAATCAATGGATAATGAGCAGAATACACTACTTTTACACTAACAAGAACTAGTTTTACATTTTTTCTCTTTCAAACTCTGCAAAACTATATGTTCAAAGATAACATATCTCAAAAGAAACCTTTAAGAGTTTTTTTGTTTTTTAAATTGATCTAACCCTAAGAATGCATTCAATTGGCCACTGACACTCGTAAGAGTGTGTTTAAATGTTAATTATCTCCTCTTGATCCTTGATATTTTTTCTGCATCAAGAATGGGTCAATGCACACTTGTATTCATAGAGTCTCTCTTTGAGTGATTCATTGATCCTGATATGTTTTGGATTCTAAGATAAGAAATTATCAAATACAACATTAATGTGTTTATGACATTTTTGGAGAAAAGAGGCACTAATTTTTTTAAGGAAGAGTGTACACTGATTCTAAGAAGGACTCACATTTATAATATGTGGAAATATAGGAGGAAAGACTGTGACTTAGAAAAAAGGAAATATATATATGCATATTTAATTGTACAAATATGTACATATTTTCCATCTGTATGTAAATGCATATATATATACACACACACATATATTACACCATGTTAACAGCTTCAGACACAACTTACTTCTTTGAAGTTTTAGCATTTGATGCTTAAAATAACTAACCTAGGAAAGGTAGTTCAACAGATTGAATTTCGAGAAAGAAAAGAAAAATTAGGGTTGCAGATTTTAATCCCAGATCTGCCACTTCTTTCTAAACTATATGGCCTTGGCAGGTTACCTAGTTTATCTTACCTAGATTCCTCATTTGTGAATAGGTTATATTAATAATATTCCATATAGTGTTGTTATGAAATAATACATAGAAAATTCTTAGGATAAAGAATGTATGATGTAACTGCATATATAGGTAACAAAATTTTAAATTGGATCTTTTCTCTTTCTGTTTCAGCTGAGGCCTTTGAGATACTATATGAACTGCTCCAACATTCTGAAGAGAAGGTCTGGATCATTTAAGTAGGACTTGCAAAGAAAGTGGCCTAGATCCTTAGCTGAGCTGATCACTTACCTCAAACCTATAAAGAAGTGGAGGGGCCAAGAATAGGTGTTGGATATCAGCGGGAGAGTTTCATCAAAGAGCTGTCAGTTTCATCTCAACCTTACCCTCCAGGAGAGGTAAGATGTCCTCTGTCTCACAATAAATGAGTTTGACTTTTGGTCCTGGGCATCTGTGGTACTGAGAGCTTAGGGCTGGCTCCATGCTTTAAAATATGTATATGTGAGAACTGCATGAACTCGCCAGTGCGGAGATGAAAAAGAAAGAAAAAAGTCAGGAAGCTCCAGAAGCTTTCTACATTTCCATTTGAGATAAGGACAAGGATGCTTGAATGTTTTTCTTGAAGAAGTGAACAAATGGAACAGAAATCTACATTTTACCTGAGAGAGGAAAGAGAGTGCATAACTGTTTCTCATGAACCACAGTGAAGTTTGAGAGCATAGGCTCAGAACCAACTCAAATCCTCTATACAAAGATTGCCTGGAGAGTCAAGGTGAACACCCCTCCTACGCACACACCTGCCAACACACACACAAAAGACAGAGGAAGACTACAGGATTGCAAAAGGAGAGAGAAGGAACACAAGTGGCTAGCTGAAGGAAAAGTATTGCTTAAATTTGGGGACCACTGCAGAAGGTTTCCAATAGCACTCCAAAAAAATAGGAGGCCACATGAATCATAATCAATCCCAAAGGAATCCATCATAAATACTGGTCACAGCTGGAAGTAACCAATACTCTATTGGTGTCTGTCCTTGTTCATGTACTTGTCTCCCCACCACTCCAATCACTGAAGCTGAGTCTCTTGGGTGGTGTGCAAAGGAGATCGAATCCAGCCAAGTGACAGGATGAAAGAGAATCTGACCACACTCTCCATACTTGCCACAGGCTTCCAAGCTCAAAGGGTCCTGTAGTGAGAGAGGAGTGGCTCTTTGTTTTTTTTTGTTTTGTTTTGTTTTGTTTTGTTTTAAGATGGAGTCTCCCTCTGTTGTCCAGGCTGGAGTGCAGTGGCGTAATCTCAGCTCACTGCAACCTCTGCTTCCTGGGTTCAAGCAATTCTCGTGCCTCAGCATCCCTGAGTAGCTGGGATTACAGGTGCCCGTCACCACACCCGGCTAATTTTTGTATTTTTAGTAGAGACAGCAGAAATGGGGCTTTGCCATGTTGGCCAGGCTGATTTCAAACTCCTGACCTCAGGTGATCAGCCCACCTTGGCCTCCCAAAGTTCTGGGAATACAGGCGTGAGCCACTGCACCCAGCTGAGAGGCTCTTTTTAAATTTTAAAATATTTAATTGACAAATGAAAATTATATATAATCAAGGTACACACATGATGATTTAATATGCTTGTACATTATATATTGTCTATCACAGTGTAATTAACATATCCTTCACCACCCATAGTTACCATTGTGGAGTGTGGTGAGAGTTGAGGACACTTATAATCTGCTATCTTAACAAAGTTCAAGTAAACAATACAGTATTAGTAACTAAGGTCACTATTCTATACATTAGATGCCCAGAAATTATTCATCTTATAATAAAGTTTGTACCCTTTGACCAAATTTCCTGAGCTGCTCTGTGCTCCCCACCACGCCTGTCAACCACTATTCTGCTGTTTGCCTCTATGAGTTTGACTTTTGAAATTTTGGAGGTTTTAAAGATCACTCTGGTCTAAACATAAACTAGCCAATTCAGTAACCACTAGCAGCATGCAACCACTTAAATTTAAATTTAAAATAATTAAAATTAAACAAGGTTAAAAATCCAGTTTATCAGTCACACTAGCCAGATTTCAAATACTCAATAACTACTTGCAGCTACTTTATTGGACAGTGCAGATATTAAAATTTTCTATTAGACAGCACTGGTGCCATATATATTAATCAGTGAACTGAGAGTTTGGTTATTTGTCACTAAAAGTTATCAGAAGACTTTTTTTTTTTTTTTGAGATGGAGTCTGGCTCTGTCGCCCAGGCTGGAGTGCAATGGCACTGTCTTGGCTTACTGCAAGCTCTGCCTCCTGGGTTCAGACAATTCTCCTGCCTCAGCCTCCCATGTAGCTGGGACTACAGGTGCCCGCCATCATGCCCAGCTAATTTTTTGTATTTTTTAGTAGAGAGGGGGTTTCACCATGTTAGCCAGGATGGTCTTGATCTCCTGACCTCATGATCCACCTGCCTCAGCCTCCTGAAGTGCTGGGATTACAGGCGTGAGCCACGGCACCTGGCCTATCAGAGGGCTTTTGTTATTACCTGAGAGTTGGCAGATAACATGATTGCACAGAGTAGGATTAAATGGCCCAAAGAAGAACAGAGTGGTTGATCTGATTTCACTTGATGAGTCGCAGCTCTTCAGTGCTCTGTTTCTACACCCAGGTAAAACTCGTTGCCTAAGCAAAAGTATTGATTATTATTGAAAATAATACACATCAAATGTAGTGCCTGGGCATCTATTGGGCTCCATATTCAACTTTTTCTTTTCTTGGAAAATTTCGGGTAGAGTGAGGGAAGAATATAAAAAAAATCCAAGGAAGTCATTTAAACCAAATAAAATGATAACACTTGTGATACTCTAAATGTGGATTCTAGATTTTAAAAATGAATGTAAAAATAAAAACACCACCGAAGTGTTATAAATATTGTAAAAAATTTGTGGGGTTGAAAATTTGAAAATTACTTATCAACTTATTTATTCAAACTTTTGTAAACTTTATTCCATTTTTAAGTCTTATAGTAATCACTAACATGCATCATTTAGATGCTTGAAAATATTCTTGGACTCTCGTGTGTTTTGTAATAACAATCATAGTTTTCTTTTTAGTCATGTGCATAACCTAGAACAGAAGGCAATTCAATTTAGTCTCCTTACGAGATATTTGTTCTCTTTTTATCCATTACTTTCTTAAGATTTAATGTGACATATTAAAAACATAAAATCATATGAAATACTTTATCATAAACACCAACCTACAAAAAAATTTCTTAGTACATTACTCCATGGGGAAATAAATGTAAGCTTTCTGCTGAAAACAGATGGCAAGCTCACAAATAGAGCTTTTGCAGGTGTTTTATATGGGAATAATGTTGCTGTAAGTCTCCAGAAAAATGATAGCATATTAGTGCTAGAGACACTAAAGCACTTAAAGTCCGATCACCCCCTTTGACAGTTGTGGAAATTGAGGCCTGTTGCCACTTTCCTCGGGTGGCAGCATAATAGGAGAATTAAGAACATGGATTGGAATTGAAGAAACTAAATCCGTGCCCTGACCCTGGCCCATATCTACTGGGCAAATTTGAGCAAGTAGCTTAATAGCCCTAGGTTTCAATTTCTTCCCATGTGAACTTAGAATAATAATGCCAAATAATATAATTACAAACTGATCAATTTCTTATGAGACAGATGATGTTCGCAACATACAATTTATGGTAGCAATCATTTTTTTCTCCTCCATTACTGCTTTAAATTTTTCTATAATTACCCACTTAAAGTCACAAGACAAAGTGAGTGAAGTCCCCAGCCATTCACTTTCCTCTGTTGCCCTCTGCTCAGGGATCCCAGGATCTCAGTACTGGCAGCAGGAGTGAGCCCTGCTGAACTATTTTTCCCAAATTAAGCCTTTAGCACCAGAGTAGGATTAGGAAGGGAAATTGAGGCGGCATCCACTCTCAGCTACATTTGCTTCTAGAGTCCTCTTTCACATTTTCCTGCCCCCAGAATGGAGGAAATTCTGCCCTTCTCTCAGTCCCAAGTCCTTTCCCATTTCCAGAACAAGTGAAAATTTTTTCAGGGAAAAATACACTTTCTTATACATGAGTTTTATGTGCAGGATTTTGCATATAGACTATCCTTGGAACAGTCAAGGGACAAACTGGAAACAAATCAATATGCACAGAGCAGGAAACTAGAGGATTTTGAGACTGAACCAAGAACCACTCACTACAGTGTATAGCCTATGTTGGGGAAACAAATGGCTATAAAAGAGGACACTGGGGCTTTTCTAACTTTAGCTTCCAAAGTACTTAACAATTCCAGGCATACTTCAGGCAATCATCAATAATTAAAGTAAAAGGTAAAAACCTGTCAAATAAATGAGAGAGTATAACCAGACCCATTATATTCTGGATAGTGCACAGGGATCTAACTGGGCTAGGTATTAGACTTTAGGAAAAAGGCCCTTGTCCTGAAACTATAAAATTTATGTGCTGCATGACAACAGGAGCACTGGCCTTTGTTCTATCAGGAGCTGGAGTCCAAGTTCTGCAATTAGAGTTTGTGTCATGCGAGAGCCTTCACCTCACCCTCTGTTCTTACACCAGCAGTGAAGTACAGCTGGTCTCCATCCCTTGTAGATTTTAGTTCTAAAATGACCTGTTCTTCAAGGACATCCCAAAATCTCAACTGAAGTGTACAAAAATAAAAAATATATAATTTTATATTTATGCAAGAGAGAAATATTTATATAAATATGAAATTATATTTAGATAATTTTATAAATCATATTTTATAATTATTTACTTTAATTATCAATTATATTAATTTTATGAAGAACTATTTAAATTATAAATTTATATATACATAAAGAGAGAGAATTGAGATTGGATACCATCTCAACTCCCCCTCTTAGTCCTACTCTGGTGCAAATATATATATATATATATATTTCTTTAATTTTTTAAAATTTTCAAATCCAGTATCTACATAACATTGCCATTTATTTCTTCAGGTAACAAAAACATAATATCAACCAATCACACATTTCCCATACTTTGATTGTGTTTATATTCTGAGGCACTTTGAAGTAGCATCATTACTGAAACACCAGGGGTTTGTTCCAGGCCCTGCTGCTTGCCACACAGAAAGCCAATCACTGAGACAATGAGTATTGCCTGGGAAGAAGGCTTTAATCAGGTGCTACAGATGAGATGGGGGAACAATCTCATATCTCCTCAACTGAATGAAATTAGGGGTTTATAATGCAGTGAAGAAATGTAACTATGTGCAGGAAAACAGCAGTTAGGGAGGGATAAGGAAGACATGTTGGTCAACAGGAAGCAGATAATCAGTTGAAGATTATGACAGGTGAAGGGCCTGGTGACTTATTGTCTAGTTTCAGTGATTTGCTAAGTTTCAGTTCTTTGATACCATCTGGGAGGACTGATGGCTATTTTCCTGAGAAAGGAACTCAGATTACACAAATGAAACTTTCTCAATTTTTAATATTGGGAAGGTCAATTTCTATGTTTATTCAGAAGGAATTGTAAAGATCAGTTCTACAGGACAATTGGGCTGGTTTCAGTCTCCCCTTTTCTATTTATTAAGAATCTGGTATCAATTTCTCTGGCTGCTTTATGATGAAGAGAGGTGTTGTGGACAGCTCCAAACGTGGCCACCCATGAATTAATGGTTAATCTAATTCTATAGTTTTCTTCTGCAACACAATCTCTCTCTTCAGTCACATAGGAATACAATATTCTTTAGGATAAGGCCTATCTTTCCTGATTATTACAACAGTGTAACCATAACACAGTTTTTCCTCATTACCTAAAGGAGAAGATCTGAATCCAATTCAAATTACTGATTTAATTTAATTACCTTGGAAATAAACAGCATTTAAACATTTCTACTCTCACCTACTTTTCCAAATAATAAAATATGTGTGCTATTTCTGTTCTGTAAAATATATGTACTATTTCTGTTCAGAACTTATGAAGATAAGCCTATTTTCTTTTCCAGGAAACTTAAAGCATTTATAGCTCTCTAGATCATCAGAAGTAAGCAAAACCAATCCAGTTTTAAATAGCTGGTGTGTAGTATCATTTTTTGGAGGCTTGACAAAGGTAGCTTGGGAATTTTATATAAATAGAGCAAATGATGAGTTGTTGGAAATGCATAGGAAACAAATGACAATTCATGGAACCAAATACAAGCCTTCCAGCAGAAAGTAAAAAATAAAATAGTTGTTTTATATATGTGTATATAAGTGAAACCCAAAGGAGATCAAAGAGTAAACAAATGGAAATTAAAAGCAAAATCAACTAAACAGAAAACTAACCCCAAATTTTTCTCCTACTCAGTTTACCTTAGAGGCTACAGTGTTACCCAGAGTCTAAAAAAGAAAATACAAAAAAAGATGAATATTTTGTTCCTGATACATAAATTAACGTCTTTAAGTCTTCCAACACCACATACATTTTGTGCAATTAAGAAGTTTACTTCAAGCACATAACCAGTAAACATTTTAGTGCTAGTACTATCTATGCAGAATAGCAAATACAGTATGAAACAAAACAATGAAAGCATCTTTATGAAATTTGTTTCCACGGTAAATCTGGCTTTGTGCTTACCTATACTAAAAAGAAATTTTCAAACACCAGCATATTTCTTTACATTATTTCATATTTTACCTTTATCAAGATTAGGAGCTTTGATTATGAGCAATGTTAATTAGTTGAATTTTTCCAATTTTCCATCTTGTCTTAAAGAATGTTTTATTAACTAAACTTTTTCAAGTTCCTATTTTCTCTGAATGTACATGAAGATAAACACAGAGAGAAACAGGAATAAATGTACATATGACTTACACGGACCATCTATGACATGCTTTGACTTTCTATTTTGTCCTAAATTCTTTTCTTTTTGATAACCAGTCATTTTATTTTATTACAAAAATTTTCATAATTCATAATTTGAATAAACAGATAATTTCTGAATTAGATAAAATTACTCCTTTCCTCAATAAAAACACATCTTCTTTAGCACATTTTATATACAGAATTATAACCTTAAATTTTAGTGAAAGTCTAGGAAGCAATAAATCCTGAACAACTATCAGATGTTAGCATTTGATAGCTGAAAACATTCCATAATTTTTTAAAACATGTGTTCCCATATCATAACCCTCTAGTAATTGGAAATGACCCAAACATCAAAGGAACATTAAAAATAATTTTAAGATTTTTAAATTATACAAAAAGTTTCCTTATGGTAAAAGAAAAACTTCAGCCCAATTAAAGAGTTTAATTGAGCAAAGAACGATTTGCAAATCAGGCAGCCTCCCACACCAGAGTAGGCTCAGAGACTCTGGTGCAGCCATGTGGTAGAAGATTTATGGACAGAAAAAGGAAAGTGATGTACACAAATCAGAAGCGAGGGACAGAAACTGCTGTATTGGTTATAGCTCGGTGTTTGTCTTAGTTGAACACAATTTAAACAGTTGGCCACATTTGATTGACCAAAATTCAGTGATTGGCACAAGAGTACAGTATAGTCTGTTTACACTTCTATTTAGGCTATGATTCATGATGTACAGAGAAACTTTTAGGCCAAACTTAAAATATGTAAGGAGGCAGTTTTAGACTAAACTTGATTTAACAATCCCCTCCTTTTGGTCATCCTCTCAATTTTGAGAGGATGACCAAAAGTTCAGTGATTGATGGCACTATCATCATTGTAACTGTACTTATTTGCTCTTGAAACCCACTGGAAAATAGAACTACGGGTTTTGTAAGATGGGAACAAGGACTTCAGGTCATTGTTTTAAAAGGGTTCCAGTAGAGGGTATCTCCTTATGCCGGAACATCCTGTTTACAGAAAAAAAAAAAAAAAAAAAACCTAAACCTGTCTTTTCTAGGATCTATGTGTTTCCTTAAAGTCTTAGTTTGATTATGTCACATTTAGCATAAGTGACTCCATTTTGGTTTGATCTGGTCTTTTGGGGCCTACTGCATGAGCTCAGTTCCAAAAAAATGGCCTCCAATAATTGTCTTTAAAAAATATCCCCCATTTAGTCAAATGCTCCTTAGGTAAGAGTGTGACCAACACTTATGGCCTTAGTGTCACTCTCAGTTACCATCATTTTGGGTTTCCAGTCTCAGAATGTCATTTATGGTTATGGTGCCCTCATGGTCACACATTTTTTCATTCTTGTCATTACAGTTGAAGAGAGACCACTTGATACTCTAGAGATGGCTGCATGCAAACTTGTAAAGCTTTTCAGAGACCACAGTGCACCAGGGAGACTACTATTATGACTATCAGGAGGATAATACCAAGAGTTTTGAGTATGCTTCTTACCCAGGGTCTCCATAAAGCAAACAAACTAAAATCAATAGATCAAAGAATGAGCTAGATAAAGAGTCTACTTGCTTTAACTAAGCAGTCTCTTCGTTAATCCCCTACTATTTAATCTCTGTAATACCCAATGTGATATATTTCTCCATGGGCAACAAGTGCCAGCAACTGCACGGTTACTTCTCTGTTTAGCCAGGAAGTAATCTAGAGAAATTCTATTATTCAGCATCACTTTCATGAGATAATTTAAAGTCTGTTGTGTAATCACAGCTCTTACAGGAGAATCTGCTATGAAGCCTATGGTGAGGAATGAATTTCTAATCATTGCCTCCTTTACTAACTATGGAAAAAAGTACCTAACAAATGATGCCCTTCTAGAAGAATGACGACCTTCTGGCAATGTTCTTTTAACCCACACTGTAGGTTGAGAGGAGTTCTTTCTGACTGATTATGGAGCAATGTACATACCATTAAAATTTCTCACCTACATTGGGCCTTCATCTTCCATCTATCAAGGCATAAGTTTATTGTATTAGTCCGTTCTTGTATTGCTATAAAGAAGTACCTGAGACTGGGTACTTTATAAAAAAAAAGTGGTTTAATTGACTCACAGTTCTGCAGGTTGTACAGGAAGCATGGCTGAAGAGGCCTCAGGAAATTTACAATCATGGCAGAAGTTGAAGGAAAAGCAGTCACATCTTCACTTGTCAGAGCAGGAGAAAGAGTGAACAGGAAGGTTCCACACACTTTTAAACAACCAGACCTCATGAGAACTCTATCACAAGACAGTACTAAAGGGATCACGTTAAACCATTAGAAACCACAACCATGATCCAATCACCTCCCACCAGTCCTCACAAACACTGGGGATTACAATTCAACATGAGTTTTGGGTGGGGACACAGAGCCAAACCATATCTGTTATCCATGTATAAGTCTGCATGGCTGCAGCATCCTTCACAAATAAAAGTATACCCCATGAGTGCACACAACAGATTCCATTTTTACTTCTATTGTTTATAGAGGCATAGCAAGGGGAAAAATTCAAAGATAAGAGTCTCATGGTACTAGAGAAGTCTTGATCTGTGATCTTGGGAAAAAGCTTCTGTGATCTTGGGGAAAAGGATGCCATCTTCTGGGCAGAAAATCTTCCCTGGTTAGCTTTACCTTAAGGGTTCCCAAGGATGTCCAGTTTTGAGAGTGTGGAGGGATGCTTCTGAGTTGTAAGACTATGAACCCAAGGTTCAAGGTCCTGAAGGTTTGCTGCAATGTGGATGGCAGGAGCAGTCTTTCTCTGGTGTTCTCAGACAGTTCAATCTTTGGGTTATGGATTATGAAGGGGTTGATTGTCCTCAGTCAGTGAACCATGAAAAGCTTTCTGTAACTGGTGAAAATACACAGTGGCATAATAAGCTACTGTTATAACATCAGCTCTCTTGAATGGAAAATCTTTTATAGAACCAGAAAACATGTGTTGAAAATGACAACTGAATGATATCCCTCTATAAATGTTTAAGTGGCCTATCATGTTGTGGAATGTACCTGAAGCTTTGTGTTCCCAGGAATATTGGTTTGACAAACCAAACATTGGTCATACACTATTTTAGCAGTTTATAAGCTACCACAGCAATATGTATTTAATTTGGGTCATTTTTATCATTTTCATGATGAGTCATGGAATGCAGGACTCAGGAAGGATAAGGCAGCCGTCCTGGTTCTCCATGCTTGACATTGGACTTATGTCCTTTTGAATACCAGTTGTTTCCCCAATTTAGGTGCATAGCACTGACAACTGATGGCTTATCATAGATAATTTAACTTAGACCACAGAGTTCATTCAAATTGTATATCTAAACAATTTCAGTATTGGCTGTTTTAGCATGAAAAGTGGCAAAGTATCTTCTTGGTATTTAATTAGTTTCTGTTCTACTTGGGTTAGCAGATTGGCAAATCAGTCAGTCTTTTCACTGAAGTTCCAGGAATTCAGCCAGATATGGTGGCTCACACCTTTAATCCCAGCCCTTTGGGAAGCTGAGGCAGGCGGATCACTTGAGGCCAGGAGTTTGAGACCAGCCTGGCCAACATGGTGAAACCCCATTTCTACTAAAATATACAAAAATCAGCCAGGTGTGGTGACACACACCTGTAATCCCCAATACTCAGCCGGCTAAGGCACGAGAATTTCCTGAACCCAGGAGGCAGAGGTTGCAGTGAACCGAGATCGTGCCACTGCACTCCAGTCTAGGCAACATGTGTCAATAACATAAACTTCTGACATTTAATTGTATTTATTATTCTACATGCCTTTTTTTCATTAAAATTAAATTCATTACCAGTTCCTCTGGCTACATGACTGCACATCTTTGAAAATTGTTCTCTTCCATATTGTTCTCCATAATACTTGGAGTGAAAATTTTACATACATTTGTACAATACTGGATTATATTAAACTAACAATTTGAAATTTCCATGAATATACACTCTAGGAATATACAATTTTCATGGAAATACAGTTTTGCTTACTTTATATTCTCAATATCCTGCACAAAATGCATGACGTCTAGTAATTCTCAATAAATAATTATTAAAATAATGAACAACTATTGCTAATGCAGTACTTTGGCCTGTTCTCATTACTGAAATATTTTGCTCTACACGATTCTCCACTTACAAAGATCATATTCAACTTCTAATGCTAGCTCAAATAACACTCTCTCCATTAGTCTTGGTCTAGTCTGTTAGCTAGAATTTACCTCTTTTGCTCTTGAACATGAACAGTATATTTATTTTTAATATTTTTAAATTTGAGATAATTGTAGATTTATATATATTGTAAGAAATATGACAGAAAAAGTCTGTGAATCATTGTATGGTAATATTTTGTATACCTATAGCACAGTATTACAACTTGAAAATTGATGTCAATGAAATCCATTAACCCTATTCAGATCTCACCACATTTACATACACTTTTATTTATTTATCTATTTTTGAGACAGGGTCTCACTCTGCCGCCCAGGCTGGAGTTCAGTGGTGCAATCATGGCTCACTGCAGCCTCAACCTCCTGGGTTCAAGCAATCCTCCCACCTCAGCCTCTCCACTAGCTGAGACCAAAGGCACACACCACCATGCCCAGCTAATTTTTTGTAGAGACCAGTTTCACCATTGCTCTGGCTGGTCTCTAATTCCTGGGCTCAAGTGATCCTCCTGCCTCAGCCTCCCAAATTGCTAGGATTATAGGTATGTGCCACTGCGCCTGGCTGCACTCATTTGTGTTTGTGTGTGCATTTGGTTCTTTATAATATTATCACATTTGTAGATTTCTATGATTATTACCATAATAAAGATACAGAACAGTTCCATCCTAAGTACTCCGTGTGCTACTATTTTTTGCCATAGCCATATCTTTTCCCCCTTAACTCCTTAATCCCCAGCAACCACTAATCTATTCTGCATTTTATGTCATTTAAAAATGTATTATAAATGAAATCACATGCTACGTAACCATTTGAGATTGACTTTTTTTTAAATTCAGTGTAATACTCTTGAGATCCATCCAAGTTATTGGGTGTAGCAATAGTGGCTCCTTTTTATTGCTCAATAGTATTCCATGGCATGAATGTGTCTGTTTATTCACACATGGGAGGACGTTTGGGTTGTTTCCCATTTGAGGCTATTATGAATAAAGCTGTTCTGAACATTAATGATTAGGCTTTTGTGTGAACATAAGTTTTTATTTCTTTGAGACAAACACCATAAAAACATTTTAATATTGAGGAACTATTAAAAGATTAAATGTTGGCGGAAATGGAAACTTGGAGTCTCTATGAAACTGAGTTTCCATAAAAGATAAGTATTGTATTGTTAGGTAATGTATAGAACTTGTTTAATAACTACAACATAATGAACATTTGATTCGGTCAACTTTGGTTCTATCTAGAGAGACAATATTGTGATCATGGGTATTTGACGCACACACACACAATCAAAAAATGCAGTCGATCTACTAATTATTTGCAATGCATTACAAAGAACATACTGTTTGATGTTTTTATTGAACAATTGAATTATCTATTAGTTCCAGACAACCAGAGAGTTAACTATTGATCTTGATGTTTTTTTAAGTTGCTTGTCAGTCAAGGCTACATCCTTTATGCAACATTTTTTTCTCCAGAATGTGCTTCAATTTTCTAAATGAGACACAGTCTTTGCTTTCTAATTCACTGAAAAGAAAGAGCCCACTCAATATATGTCCTCTTATCTCAGGATACTTCTGTTATTGTTCTCATTTTTTATTACTTCTTAACCAGCATAAAAGAATGTGTGTATGTAAACACGTTCCAATTGTGGAAGGTAATACACACCTTAGATTCCATACCTTTATAATTCTTTACTCTCCTTCTTCATTTAGTTTCTCCTTTTCTCCCTTCAAATATACAAAACCTCATTCTGCAAAATTATTTTATTTAGTACTCTTGAAGTTTTTTTTCCTTTTAATTATCAAACTTTTCATATGTGTGGTTCATAACCTCAGGTTTCACTTTCTTTCAAGCTAATCCTTTATTAACTCTCTGAAATGCATTTTTCATTCTTACCACTCAGCTAAAATGACAATTCCAATTTTGACAACAGTAGTCTTTTTATTCCATAATAATAATAATAATAATAATAACAGTCTCTCTATTGTCATGCTTTCTGACACTACTGTCAAAGTTGGTTACCGATTTCATCTAAAAATTTTCTCCTGTCAGGGGTATCTAGAATAGTTTCTTGTTTTACTTGAAATAAATATTCAAGTTAGATGGTTTCTTCTCCATCCTGTGAGGGTTTCCATGTTGCTCCTTTTTTTGAAGCATGAATCAGCTAGACTAATTAAGATGCCATCGAAAGAAAGATTTAGGATTGTGTTCTCTGACCATGGAGCGGACGCCTTAACAGGAACCAAGTGTCAAAAGGGATGGTAAGGCCAGATGCATTAACATGCATCACATTTCAGTGAATTTCTGGCATATACCCTGAATGAAAGAGAGCACCCATACACAACACCACGTGAGCCTTTTATTTTATTAATTTATTTTTGCTGCAGGGTGAACCCTGACTTCATTTCTATTCCTCTTACTGCCAAATAAATATCACTCACAACCTCAAAAAATGTTTTACAGAAGTAATAAGAATATTGCATCAAAAAATAAAGAATTTATGAACAGGTTTTTTATGCTCCATCTCTCCAGAAAGAGAAAAGTCAACTGCATATATAGTAAACATTTTTAAACTTTTGTTTATAATTGGCATATAATTGTACATATTTATGGGTAGAGTGTGATGTCTCAATACATGTATACATTGTATACAATTCAAACCAAGGTATTTAGCATACTCATAGTCTCATGCATTTGTCATTTATTTGTGGTGAGAACATTCAAAGTCTTCTCTTATAGCTATTTTGAAATATACAATATGATATTGTTAACCATAGTCATCCTACTGTGAAATAGAACACTGGAACTTATACTTCCTATCCAACTGTAATTTAGTACCCATTGAGCAGTCTTGAAAAACTTTCAAAACACTTCATTCTGAAGATTCGATGCAGGTTTATCTTGATCTACAATTTCCTATTTAAATACAGATTGAAAAGGAATGTTTGTTACCTACACTTCTGAATCACAGTACCTTACTTTTCAATGGCATCCTTGACGTAGCTTAAGAAACTAAATTCAGATGCCAAGACCATACTCTCCACATGTGTGTGAGCATGCACACACACACACACACACACAGATATGTTGACATGTTTACTAGGAAACCAAAAAAATAAATAACCCTTTTTGCTCCCATAGAAGGATGTAGAGTCATTTCCATGATTTTGAAAACTCAAGCCATCAAAATGAGATATCCTGAACAAAAGGAGAAAAACACAACCTCGGCAATATATGATGTTCACTTTCATTTAATAGAGTTAATATAAATCTTTGCAGCTGTATTCCTAAAAAAATGAAATTAAAACTATCAAACTTTTGATATCCCTCATGTGACAGTGACCCCTTTTGGCCTTGCAGTTCTCTCCTACTCTTACCTTACTTTTACATATCCTTGAACATAATAAGCCTCCCACCACTAATGTTATAAAGTAGTAATTGTTCCTAATTGGTAGGGAGGCGACAGACCATTCTGGTAATGTTGTGAAACTATAAGAAAGGAGGAGTGAGAACATTCACGGGCCCAGCAGTAATTATCCACTAATTTGGCCTGTTTGTGTGGGGACAGCTCATTATAGCCCTTAAGAAACCTCAGAATAAAGAGGGAAAGTAGGTAGGAGGCAAGGTTAAATAATTAGTGTTCGGCAGATTTTTTTTTAAGATTCAAAGAATAGGATTAAGGGTGGGAAATGTGACCAGAGTAACAATTAAGAAATGGTAGAATATTCTGAACTAAGTGGGTTTTATGTTTTTGTGGGAGTAGGGGTATATAAGAATCCTATATTATGGCATAAAAAATGATGTGTCACTTTTATTACACTTTTTCAATTATAGCCCTGATCATCCCCTTACATTTTATAGTGCCAATCTCATCTTAACAGGAGATTTATTCTCATGAGTCTTAAAAGATTTTCACAGTTTTCATAAAATAATGTATAAAGTTTTTATATCATCTTATCTTTAACATTTGTAGATTTGTTTTGGGAGTTGGAAACACATACTTGTATGCACACACATGAGGAGGAGCATAATACAGACTTTGCAAATAAATAATTATTCAACTGCAACTCTGTTAGCAAACTTGAACTCCTAGATTTCTCACCTATTTATATCTGATACCTCTATTTTAAAAGTATGTATGCTTACTCTTGCTTTTATATGAATATGTACATATATACATTCACAGACATATACATACACATGTTTGGTAAATAATTTGTATAGAGTCTTTCAAAGATTTTCTAACAGCATCATTTTCAACAGTCTTTTCTAATAAGTAATATTTATCTAACCAATTTAGGTGATTGCAATTAGTGTTTTTATCCACTTAATACAAAGTGAAATGCACTGGTTGAAAAATTTTAAATCAAATGAGCTCTGTAATTTGAGTTACCCAGAAAACACCTATGTATGTCTTAAATATTTACTCATTAAAGGACTTTGGGAAAAGTTCCAGAATATTATAGTCCCCATTCCTTTGCTGAAAGGTGACAATATTCGTAATTGCAATATATAAATAGAAGCATTGGATGGGTCCAACAGATTTAGGCTAAAATATGATATTAATATTGCAAAGGTCATACCTTTTATCCATATATACATTAGATAATTTTTCTCTCATAATTCAAAATAAACTTCTCTAAACCAAGAGATGGGTTAGAAAAGTATTCTTCTCTTCATAAGGGGAGTCATGTGGTATCAATATATGCATGAATAAATTAATAAAAATTTATTACCAACATTTGAAAAACAATTTCAAAAAAGTCACAAGCCCTATCTGCTCTTGATGAAGCATTGTCTTTATTTATGCATAAAGTTACTGCAGCATAAGAATGATTACATTAATTTTTCTCATTTTCCTTATCTTTGAAACACTAGTATGTTTCAATGAATGGCATGTTATTGTGTGTTTTTCTGTGGGTTTTTTTGTTTGTTTTATTAATTTTTCAAATTTTCTGCAGACACAAGGGTGACTTATGAATGGCATGTTTTTGGCTACTTAGCAACTCCTGAAGCTCATGACACATAAAACTGAATAAAAAAGAATTTGTTTCTACACTGCCTTTTCAAATATTTATTTGTGTTTCATTAGACTAGTAGTTTTCAAATTATTCTTCTCAAAATTACTTAGGAGACTACAAATAATTTTATGTCATTTCCTCAATTTGCACTTCTACTCACCTTCAATGTTCTCCATACAAAAGCAACATCAAAAATGCCAAATTGTTTTTCTCCCTAGCTTATTAAAGAATTAAGGGGCCGGACACAGTGGCTCATGCCTGTAATGCCAGCACTTTGGGAGGCTGAGGCCAGAGGATCACTTGAAGCCAAGAGTTTGAGACCAGCCTGGGCAACAAAGCAAGACCCTGTCTCTCCAAAATTAAAAGAAAAAAAAAAAAAGGTTAAGAAAGTGGAATAGCCAGGTATTACATTTACTACCTGCCTAAGAATAAGTTACTGCTATAGAAATTCAATTGCTATGGATCTATCAGATTATAAATGCTCCATCTGCAATCTGAGAAACAACATTTTGGGGAATAAAGATTTAAATGTCTTCTCAGGTCCCTTTGTTTGATAAAAATATTCCCTCTAAAAATAAATGACCACATAGATTTATTATTGTTTTATCTGATCTATTAGAATTATCACTAACATTTTACTGCCAACGTATAATAGATGATTACTTTGGCACAGATACTAATGCTAAATATTTTATGTGCTTCCTTATATTTTCCAACCTCCCTTGCAGTTAGCCTGTGACCATGTGTGTAGTTCATGCTAATGTGCTGAAAGTGCAAGTTTTACATGACACTGCCAGAGAAGTTAAGAGAAAATGTGAGTGGTTCACCTTTTATCATCACATACTTTGAGGATCCTGGAAAAATCCATGAAGATTTGATAGCATCACAGCATAGAGCACCCTAGCTTCCAGAGTCATGTATTGCAGATAGCCTGGAGGGTATACAAACACACACTGCACTTTACATGTTGAGAAATAAATCTTTGTTGTCTTAAGACTTTTGATTATGCATTTGTAACCACTCTAAAGCCTGGCCTCAAATGAGTACTACAGGCCCTAAAGTTTTGATGTAACAAGACATTATAATTCACAACTAACTTACATTATCTCCAACTGACATCTTAAGCTCCTAAATTTGGAAATGCTTCAGGAAATTAAAAAGAGAAGTAGGCTTGGTGTGGTGGCTTACGCCTGTAATCCCAGCACTTTGGGAGGCTAAGGCAGACGGATCACCTGCGGTCGGGAGTTCAAGACCAGCCTAACCTACACGGAGAAACCCCATCTCTACTAAAAATACAAAAAATTAGCCAGGCATGGTGGCGCATGCCTGTAATCCCAGCTACTCAGGAGGCTGAGGTAGGAGAATCACTTGAACCCGGGAGGCAGAGGTTGCGGTGAGCCAAGATCGCACCATTGTACTCCAGCCTGGGCAACAAGAGTGAAACTCTGTCTCAGAGACAAAACAAAAACAAAAAGAGAAGTAATTTTTTTCAATTAACAAAACTTTCTTTAATTCAAAAGTTTAAGTATTAGGAATATTGAAGAAACAGACACTCCAATTAGTACAACTAAAAGTCCAGATAAAAGATATTGAAAGATACCTGAAAACTACAGAGGCAACCTATACTTGAGAGTCCATTAATTCAAAGACAAAGGAATTACAATATAAGAAACTGATCTTTTAAGAGAATCTTTTCCCCTGCAGTATTTGCTAATCTTTTTGGTGATGGATAAGAAACAGATAATCTATTCAGGTGACTAAAACTAAAACGCAGAAAAATTAGTGTATATTTGGGAATCTCAAGAAGCTAGAAAGACAATATTGTAGTTCACAGCTGCTTAGGCAATCAGGATTTGCAGATATAAGAAAGTAGAAGAGCCAAAGATCTTGGAGAGAAAAAGACATATTATCTTCAAAACAGCTGCAGTAAGACTAACAGCCAGCTCAATTCTAATAGAAATAATGGAGACTAGAAGACAAAGGAATGCCATCTTTAAAGTGCTGAGAGAAAATAGCTGCCAACGTACAATTCTATACCTAGTGAAACTGTCATTTAAACATGAAATCAAGGTAAAGACTTCGCCAGACAAACAAAAATTTAGAAAATTTGTCACCAGAACCCCCACCCACCCACCCACCACCACCACACACACACATACACAAAAATAAGCTTAGTGAAGATCTGTAAGCATAAGAGAAATAGTGCTGGAAAGAAGCATGGAAATACACAAAAAAATGAAAAGCAATGTATAAAGTTAGTAAATGAGTAAATATGCATAGAAATTGACTATACAAAATAATACTTTTAATAATGTATTGGGTCCAAATTATGTGAAGAATTAAAATTCATATAACAAGAACACAAACACTGAAATTAGAATTAATATATTCTAATTTTGTTATTTTTTTGATACATAGTATAAGTTCTAATGTAAAATGGACATTAATGTAATTAATGTTTTTGTTATTTTTCTGTTATAAATTTTGTTATATTTTTTGATACACAGTATAAGTTCCAATGTAAAATGGACAATAATGTATAATTGATGCATTATAATCTGTAGTGAAATAATTTAACATGCTAAAGGGAAAGAAAATAAAAAATTATAAAACAAGAAAAGAGACTATAAATAGATGGATAAATGTAAAATAAATAGTGAGTTCGAGATATAAAACCAAATATGTCAATAATTACACTAAATGTAAACAGGTTAAATATTCAAATTAAAACACAAAAACTTCAGACTCAATTAAAATAGAAAGTCTAATTATACAATGTTCCAAGAGATCTATAACAAATATAAGAATGAGGAAACATTGAAATAAAAGTACAGAGAAAAAATGAATCACAAATCAAAATAAAACTCTTGCTGATGTGTTAATGTCAGAAAAAAATAGACTTAAAAAGTATTGCCAGATATAAAGATGATAATTTCATAATGACTAGAAGGTCAGTTTGCCCAGCAAATATAACCATTGTAAATGTATATGTAGTTAAAAACATAGCTAAAAATTATATAATGCTAAACATGTCAGAACTAAAAGGAATAATAGACAAGTTCATAATCTAGGTGAAATACTTCCATATTGCTTTCAATATTGATAAAACCAGGCAAAAAATGTCAATAAGAAAAAAGATCTGAGCAACAGAATTAATCAATCTTAAGTAACTGATATTTGTAAAATAATGCAGCCAACCACAACAGAACATACATTTTACAATTGCACATCAAAATTTTCCCAAAATCCAATATATGCCAGAATATAAAGAAAATCTAATGAAAATTCTAGCAAATTCATTAAGATATACTGCCTTATTTCAGCAAAATTAAGGTTAATAATAAATGGCAAAAATTAGAATATTCCCAAATATTTGGAAATACACTTTATTTAATGGTCATATGGTTAAAGAATATATTACGAGGAAAATTAAAAATACTCTGAGCTTAATTATAATGAATATGAAATAACAAATTTGTAAGATAAAGCTAAAGGTTGGCCTACAGAGAATTCTGTAACCAATAAAAGTATATAATAGAAACTTTTTTTAAAAAAAGGTTGAAATTCAGTGATGTATAGATTTCATATACATTATATAATATCATAAAGTTAGGAAAAGAACAGCAAAATAAGCAAAAAGATAAATAAGAAGAGAAAATAAGAGAAAAAATGAAGTTATAGATAACAAATATATATTGCCTGATGGTGATTTTCGAAAAGAATAGTAAAATGATAACCCATAATTATTCAAGGGAGATGAAAAAGCACAATTTACTGATACCAGAAATGAAAGGGGGTAAAATAATTATAGATTCTACAATAACTAAAAGCCACTAAGATAATATTTTGAAAAATGTTCTGCCAATACTCTTGGAAAATTAAATAAAACATACAAATTCCTCAAAAATCAATCTAAGAAAAGTGACACAAGAAGTGAAAAATCTGAATAGAGGAAATTGAATTCAGTTAAAATATTCCCACAAATGGACCTAAGAAAGACAAAATGTCCCTCAACAGAAAAATAGATAAATAAATTATGACATATGGCAATAAAAATAGAATTATCATTATGCTCAACATGAATAGATCTCAAAAGAATAATGTTGATTGAAAACAACACAAGCACATTTTGTGTAATTCCATTTATATATATAGTTCAAAAACAGAAAACCAATCTATAGTCTTAAAATCCATAAAAGTGTTTATCTTTATGGGAGGTAGTAAGGTGAACGGGGCAAGAAAGGACTTGGTGGGATGCTCACAATGTTTTATTTCTTGATCTGTGTATCCATTACACTGTTGTACTGACATCATGAAAATTAATCAATGCTGTTAATTTATAGCTTGTGCATTTTTCTGTATAAATCAGTGGTTCTCTTCTAGCCCCCACCCCTTCCACAGGATATTTTATAATCTCTGGAGACATTTTTGGTTGTCACAAGTTGTTGGATGTGCTATTAGCATGTAGTGAGCAGAGCCTAGGAATGCTAAGCATACCACAAAGCAAAAGACAACCTTCCTCAAGAGCAGGTTCTCAACAGCCTCTCAGCTGGGATCTGCTTAAGCCCACTAAACTCCCAGGTGGAGGGGCGACCAGCACCACAGCTCGGGCCATCTGCTGTCTAAGCTGTTTAAGCTCCTTGTGGGAGGGGCAGCAGCCAGCAGTGGGACTAGCAACTACCCAACAACACACTAAGCTACTTGGGTGGGGGAAGGGTGGCATCCATCTCTATAGCTCTAGGCTGCACTTTTCCCCTGGTGGAACCAGGGAGGCTGGACGGCTTGGTCCCAAGACTTGTCCCCCACCACCCAACACACTTGCTGTGGCAGTCTGCTGTCAGAGTGCCTCTTCAGGCCTGACCCTGACCCATCCTTCCTCACTGGGTGGGTCTTTCTTGCAGGATCTCCAACTCCAGCCAGAGGCTCAGGGACAGAATCTGGATCTCCCTGGGCCTAAGCCCCTGGGGGAGGGGTGGCCACAGTCTCTGCAGACCAGCAGACTTAACCTTTCCTCCTGCTAGTTCTGAGGAATCCAGGCAGCCCAGACAAGTGGGTTTCCCCCCAGTGAGGCATATCCCCTTCACCAAAGTACAAAGTGCTTTGTTAAATCGGTTCTGTTCCTCGTGCCACTCAACTGGGTAAGACCCTCCAACAGGGGTTGTCAGACACTCTATACAGGAGCGATTTTACTGGCATCAGTTTGGTGCCCCTCGAGGTCAGAGGTCTTAGAAGAAGGAGCAGACACCCATCTTTGTGGTTCTCCAGCTTCCTTGAGTGACATCTCCAGTTGCAGGAGCTAATAGATGAATAGGGCCTGAAGTGAACCCCTAGCAAACTTCAGCAGCCCTACAGAAGAGGGACCTGACTATTCAAAGTAAAAAACACAAGCAGAAAGCAACAACAACAGCATCAACGACAACAACAAAAAGCCCCCACAGAAACCCCATCCGAGAGTCAGCATCCTCAAAGAACAAAACCAGATAAACTCAAGAAGATGAGAAAGAATCAACAAAAAAACTCCTGAAAATCCAAAAGGCCAGAGTGCTTCTTCTTTTTCAAATGATCGCAACATCTCTACATTAAGGGTACAGAACTGCACGGAGGATCAGATGAACGAAATGACAGAAATAGGCTCAGAAGATGGGTAATAAAAACTACGCTAAGCTAAAGGAACATGTTCTAACCCAATGCAAAGAAGATAAGAACCCTGATAAAAGGTTAGAGGAATTGCTAACTAGAATAATCAGTTTAGAGAAAAACATAAGCAATGTGATGGAGCTGAAAAACACAGCATGAGAACTTCATAAAGCATACACAACTATCAATAGCCAATTCGATGAAGCAGAAGAACGTATATCAGAGTTTCAACACCACCTTGCTGAAATAAGGCATGCAGACAAGACTAGAGAAAAAAGAGTGAAAAAAAATGAACAAAGCCTCCAAGAAATATGGGAATTCATAAAAAGACTGAACATATGATTGACTGGAGTACCAGAAAAAGATGGGGAGAATGGAAACAAGCTGGAAAACACACTTCAAAACATTATCCAGGAGAACTTCCCCAACCTAGCAAGACAGGCCAACATGTAAATTCAGGAAATACAGAGAACACCATTAAGCTATTCCATGAAAAGATCAACCCCAAGACACATAGTCATCATATTCTCCAAGGTCAAAATGAAGGAAAAACTGTTAAGGGCAGCCAGAAAGAAAGGCCATGTCACCTACAAAGGGAAGCCCATCAAACTAACAGTGGACTTCTCAGCAGAAACTCTACAAGTGAGAAGAGAGTGGGGACCAATATTCAACAACCTTAAAGAAAAGAATTTTCAACCCAGAATTTCATATCCAGCCAATCTAAGCTTCATAAGTGATGGAGAAATAAAATCTTTTCCAGACAAGCAAATGCTGAGGGATTTTGTTACCACCAGGCCTGCCCTATGAGGGCTCCTGAAAGAAGCACTAAGTATGGAAAGGAAAAGCCAGTACCAGCCACTGTAAAAACACACCAAAATATAAAGACCAATGATACGATGAAGAAATTGCATCAACTAGGGTGCAAAGTAACCAAATAGCAGCATGATGACAGGATCAATTCACATATAACAATACTAACCTTAAATGCAAATGGGCTAAATGCCCCAGTTAAAAGACTCAGACTGGCAAATTGGATGAAGAGTCAAGACCCATCAGTGTGCTGTATTCAGGAGAGCCATCTCACTTGCAAAGACACACATAGGCTCAAAATAAAGGGATGGAGGAAAATTTACCAAGCAAATGGAAAGCAAAAAAAAGCAGAAGTTGCAATCTTAGTCTCTGACAAAATAGACTTTAAACCAACAAATGTCAAAAAAGACAAAGAAGTACATTACATACTGGTAAACAGAACAATTCAATAAGAAGAGATAACTAATCTAAATATATATACATCCAACACAGGAGCACCCAGATTCAGAAAACGAGTTCTTAGAGACCGACAAAGAGACTTAGTCTCCCATGCAATAATAGTGGGAGACTTTAACACCCCACTGCCAGTATTAGGTCAATGAGATAGAAAATTAACAAGAACATTCACGACTTGAACTCAGCTCTGGATCAAGTGGACCTAGTAGAGATCTACAGAGCTCTCTACCCCAAATCAACAGAATATAAATTCTTCCCAGTGCCACGTGGCACATATTATATAATCAACCTCATAATTGAAAGTAAAACACTCCTCAGCAAATGCAATCAAGAACAGAAATCATAACAAACAGTATCTCAAACCACAGTGAAATCAATTTGTAACTCAGGATTAAGAAACTCACTCAAAACCACACAATTTCATGGAAAATGAACAATCTGATACTGAATGACTCCTGGGTAAATAATGAAAGTAAGGCAGACATCAAGAAGTTATTTGAAACCAATGAGAACAAAGAGACAATGTACTAGAATCTCTGGGACAGAGCTAAAGCAGTGTTAAGAGGGAAATTTATAGCACTAAATGCCCACATCTGAAAGCTAGAAAGATCTCAACACCCTAACATCACAATTAAAAGATAAACAGAGGCAAGAGGAAACTAATCCAAAATCCAACAGAAGACAGGAAATAACTAAGATCAGAGAAGAATTGAAGAGATAGAGACACAAAAAAACCCTCCAAAAAATCAATGAATCCAGGAGGTGTTTTTTTTTTTTTTAAAAAAATAACAAAATAGACCGCTAGCCAGACTAATAAAGAAGAAAAGAGAAGAATCAAATAGACACAATACAAAATGATAAAGGGGATATCCCCACTGACCCCACAGAAACACAAACTACTGTTAGAAAATACTATAAACACCTCTATGCAAATAAACTAGAAAATCTCGAAGAAATTGATAAATTCCTGGACACATACACCCTCCCAAGACTAAACCAGGAAGAAGTCAAATCCCTGAGTAGACCAATAACAAGTTCTGAAATTGAGGCAGTAATTAATAGCTTACCAACCAAAATAAGCTCAGGACCAGACAGATTTACAGACAAATTCTACCAGAAATACAAAGAGGAGTTGGTACCATTCCTTCTGAAACTATTCCAAACAATTGCAAAGGAGGGACTCCTCCCTAACTCATTTTATGAAGCCAGCGTCATCTTGATACCAAAACCAGGAGGAGACACAACAAAAAAACGTCAGGCCAATATCCCTGATGAACATTGATGTGAACATCCTCAATAAAATACTAGCAAACCAAATCAAGCAGCACATCAAAAACCTTATCCACCTGGATTAAGTCAGCTTCATCCCTGGGATGCAAGACTGGTTCAACATATGCAAATCAACAAATGTAACCCATCACATAAACAGAACCAATGACAAAAACCACATGATTATCTCAATAGATGCAGAAAAGGCCTTTGATAAAATTTAATATCCCTTCATGTTAACAACTCTCAATAAACTAGATATTGATGGAACATATCTCAAAATAATAAGAGCTATTTATGACAAACCCACAGGCAATATTATATTGAATGGGCAAAACTTGGAAGCATTCCCTTTGAAAACCGGCATAAGACAAGGATGCCCTATCTCACCATTCCTATTCAACATGGTATTGAAGTTCTGGCCAGGGCAATCAGGCAAGAAAAAAGAAATACAGGGTATTCAAATAGGAAGAGAGGAAGTCAAAATGTGTCTGTTTGCAGACAAGATGACTCTATATTTAGAAAACCCCATCATCTCAGCCCAAAAACTCCTTAAACTGATAAGCAACTTCAGCAAAGTATCAGTATACAAAAATCAATGTGCAAAAATCACAAACATTCCTTTAAACCAACAATAGACAAGCAGAGAGCCAAATCATGAATGAACTCCCATTCACAATCACTACAAAGAGAATAAAATACCTAGGAATACAGCTAACAGCTAACAAGGGATGTGAAGGACCTCTTCAAGAAGAACTATAAACCACAGCTCAAGGAAATAAGAGAAGATACAAACAAACGGGAATATATTCCATTCTCACGAATAGGAAGAGTCAATATCATAAAAATGGCCATACCGCCAAAGTAATTTATAGATTCAATGCTATTCCCATCAAAGAACCATTGACCTTCTTCACAGAATTAGAAAAAAACTATTTTGAATTTCATATGGAATCAAAGAAGACCTGTATACCCAAGACATTCCTAAGCAAAAAGAACAAAGTTAGAGGCATCATACTACCTGACTTCAAACTATACTACTAGGCTACAGTAACCAAACAGTATGGTACTGGTACCTAAAAAGACAGCCCAGTGGAGCAGAAATAACACCACACATCTACAACCATCTGATCTTCAACAAACCTGACGAAAACAAGCAATGGGGAAAGGATCTCCTATTCAGTAAATGGTGCTGGGAAAACTGTTTAACCATATGTGGAAAACTGAAACTGGACCCCTTCCTTACACCTTATACAAAAAATAACTCAGCATGAATTAAAGATTTAAATCTAAAACCTAAAACCATGAAAACCCTAGAAGAAAACCTAGGCAATACCATTCAGGACATAGACATGGGCAAAAATTTCACGACTAAAACACCAAAAGCAATTGCAACAAAAGCCAAAATTGACAAATGGGATCTAACTAAACTAAAGAGCTTCTGCAAAGCAAGAGAAACTATCATCAGAGTGAACAGGTAACCTACAGAATGGGAGAAAATTTTTGCAACCTACCCATCTGACAAGTGTCTAACATCCAGATTTACAAGGAACTTAAGCAAATTTAAAAGAAAAAAACAAACAACCCCATCAAAAAGTGGGCAAAGGATATGAACAGACACTTCTCAAAAGAAGACATTTATGCAGCCAATAAACATATGAAAAAGAGCTCAACATCACTGATCATCAGAAAAATGCAAATCAAAACCACAATGAAATACCGTCTCACACCAGTCAGAATGGGGATTATTAAAAAGTCAGGAAACAATAGATGCTGGTGAGTCTGTGGAGAAATAGGAACACTTTTACACTGTTGGTGGGAATGTAAATTAGTTGAACCATTGTGGAAGACAGTGTGGCAATTCCTCCAGGATCTAGAACCAGAAATACCATTTGACCCAGTAATCTCATTCCTGGGTATATACCCAAAAGAATATTAATCATTCTTCTATAAAGACACATATACACCTATGCTTATTGCAGCACTATTTACAATAGCAAAGACATGGAACCAACCCAAATGCCCATCAATGATAGGCTGTATAAAGAAAATGTGGTTCATATATGCCATGGAATACTATGTAGCCATAAAAAGGAATGAGATAACGTCATTTGCAGAGACATGGATGAAGCTGGAAGCCATCATCCTCAGCAAACTAACACAGAAACAGAAAACCAAACACTGCATGTTCTCACTCATAAGTAGGAAAGTAGGAGTTGAACAATGAGAACACATGGACACAGAGAGGAGAACAATACATACCAGGGCCTGTTGGCGGGTGGGGGATGAGGGGAGGGAACTTAGAGGACAGGTCAATAGGTGCAGCAAACCACTATGGCACATGTATACCTACGTAACAAACCTGCACGTTCTGCACATGTATCCCTTTTTTTAGAAGAAAACTTAAAAAAGGAAATGTAGTCTCATTTATCTATTAATATTATTTAAAAACTGTGGATAGAACCCTCGATAAACCACTTTAACCTAAACTACCCAAATTTTAAAATCAAATGTTTGGACTAAATCAGTACTATGGTAAGCAGAATTCTAAAAATGTTCCTCCCCAAAGACTTCAAAGTCTTTGTACAGTTAAACACCTATCTACGTATTACTGCAAAGGGATTTGGCAGATGCAATTAAAGTTAATACTCATCTGACCTTTGAATATGCAGTTTATTCTGGATCACTCACAAGGAGCCAGTGTAATTGCATGAGCACTTAAATATAGAAAAATAAGACAGAAGGGTCAGTCAGTGAGCTGTGGTGGAAGAGAAAAGCAGAGAGATGAGATGGAAGAAGAGGTTAAAAAGATTTAAAATATGGAGTCTAGCCACAATTGCTAGTTTTGAACATGGAAGATATAGTTAGGAGTCAAGGAATGTGGGCTGCCTCTAAAAGCTGAGAACAACATCTAGTCAACAGCATCCAAAGTAATGGGAATTTGAGTCTTACAATCTTATGGAACTGAACCCTGCCAATAAATGTAATGACCTTGGAAGCAGATTCCCCTCAAAAACCTTCAAATAAGAGCGTAGGCCACTTAAACCTTGATTTGTCTTTTGCCACCAATTAATCCACACTGTATCTCGTAACCTACAGAAACCATGTGATAACAAGTGGTTATTGGTTTTGGTTCCTATTTGCGGAAATTTTTTATAGCTGCAATTGAAAACTAATACAAGTACTTTCATATTTTTTCTGATCATGTGCTGACTGTTGAACAAGTACTTCCATACTTTACTTAAGCCATGAAAGCATTTCTTCAAAAGAAAACTTGAGTTGTAATTCAATCAAAGTAAACAAACAGAGAGTGTTGCACTAAATTTGTTTCTTCCTTGTATGTGATATCTGAGGCACCTCTGGAAAACTGCAACCATTAAATTGGAGTTTATTAGATTATCTTCCAGATCTAGTAGTCAATACTGCCTTAAAATGTTCAAGAAGAATCTAGTTTCTGTGTGATCCAAAGATCATAACATTTTACAATCCTTTTTAGGAAAATGAATACAAAATTATAATTACAAAATTAGATGTTGTGTTAGTTTGGTCTCACACTGCTATAAAGTTACTAACCGAGACTGAGTAATTTATAAATAAAAGAGATTTAACTGACTCACAGTTGTGCATGGCTGGGGAGGCTTCAGGAAGCTCACAATCATGGCAGAAGGTGAAGGAGAATCAAGTCCCTTCTTCACAGGTGTCAGAGGAGGGAGAGAGGGTGCGCAAGAGAAATTGCCACTTTTAAACCGTCAAATCTTGTAAGAACTCTCTCATTATCATGAGAACAGCATGAGGAAAACAGCCGCCATGATCTAGTCACCTTCCACCAGGTCCCTCCCTCAACACATGGGGATTACAATTCAAGATGAGCTTTGGGTGGGGACACAGGGCCAAACCATATCAGGTGTAAAAGAAAATATTAATTTAAAGTGAAATCACAAAAGTCAAAAAGCTGAAAAATATCCCTACAACAAAATATTCCGATAAATAACATAGTTATTTTTATTAAATAATTTCTGAATCTACCTCTGTAATGCATTTTAAAAATTGTTAAGATGTAAGCTCTTTGTTTCTTCACATAAATAGAATTTTATAATATTTACTATAGAGAGACGGAAAGATACTACTTTCCTTAGAATGTCTGATAGATTGTTTATTATTATTAATATCATAGAAAATTATAATTCAGTTAACATTATTGGTATCATTATATGACTTTTTAGGATTCCTGTCACATTACAGAAAAACTTTATCAACTGCTTCTTGTATATGAGTCTTTTGTATACAATTTAAAAGATTTTTCTAGAGACTAGAGTCTCCCATGCATATAAAACATTTTTTCTGTCTTCTATTACCCACATAATTTTGGTACTGGGTGCCTAGAACATGTTTATATCATCATATAATGGAACTCTGGTCTCTATGTCTTTGGGTCATGAAATTGGAAAAACTAGCAATAATTTAACCATACATAGAAATAACTGAAAACTACTTAAACATGCCCATTAAACAAAAAAAGAATGTATCCAACTCAACTTTTCCCTAGCAAGACACCCGAAATGCCCATACTGTAATGTCAACTATGACAGAGGGAAGGTCAGAGTGAAAGGAGACAGCAGTCTTAATTGATTGCAGTTAAATTGTCTGCTTTTCTAAATATTACAGAAGTACATGACCAAAGGACTATATTATGGAATTCCTCCCATAGCCTTGGAATGGTCAATGCAAATTAAGATCCCTGAAGCTTAAATGAGGAGTATTTGCTCCTTACTACATTAGAATGCAATCATTCTTCTTTCAAAGATTTATGGTCAGTTCATATTTTTGATGAGCTGTCATTCTAGTGCGGGGATAAATGAGAACTAAACCATCCTTCTGACTAGTATTGGTGAAATAGCTATTTGAGATTATTAGCACAGTCTGAGAACATACTACCTTAATTTAGTGCTCTTTCTAAATGAGCTAATTGATCAACAATAGTATATTTTAGTGCTGGGAGAAATTACTTGGATATTTCTCAAAATTACATCTTTTGTTGAGGGCATGAGATTCTGAGTAGAAAAAAAAATCGAACTGCCTTTTTTTTACAGATCTATAATATCATTTCCTCTTACTAACATCATAAGTTATAATGAATCCAAGTTTTAGTAAACTTTTACATAATATTTTCCTTATTCTTAAACTAAGTGCTATGTCCATTTGTTTAAATGAAAAATAACAAACAGGTCCACCATTCCATATTAAGTATATAAAGTCAGAATTTTAGAAGACTTTTTCTTAGGAATTCTAGAAACTATTTTAGATTCGACAATAACATGGTCAAATGGAGCAGAGCAGATTGTGTAACTTTTACACTCCAACTTCATTTTTCATTAAAAAAAAATGCTCCTGCAAATGTCAGCTTGAGAACAGAAGATATAACAAAAGACACTCATGGGATTGAGAATATGGTGCCTGAAGCCCTGTGAATCTAGCAAATATTCCCTTGGGACGATTCACATCTATATCTGTGACAAGTGGGTTTTGTGGTTTTTTTTATTTTGTTAGTTGGTTGGTTTGTTTTTCAAATTTAGGCAAATATAAAAGAACTTGTACAATTTTTCTCAAGTCTTCCTGCTAAAAATGTATTTCACACCCCAGGAATGCGATGTTCCTTTCTGTATAACTCCTATGTGTTTTAAAAGATTGTGGATATAATCCATCAGAAAAAAATAAAAGAGAGAGAGAGAGAGAAAAAAAAGAAGGAAAGAAAGACAGAAAAGAAAAGAAAAGAAAACAAAGAGAAAGAGAGAAAGACAAAGAGAGAAAGAGAGAGAAAGAGAGAGGAAGGAAGGGAGGAAGGGAGGGAGGAAGGAAAAAAAGACTCTTTCACCTTTAACTAATTGATTAAACTGAGATAGTCTTGATTGAATGTGATAGGAAAAAAATGTACGTGTGTATGTATGTGTGAATATATATAAATATATATACATTTATATATATATCACTCTTATCCCAAATTTAGAGGAGAATTTCCTCCAAAAAAATGATTAAACAAACATAAAGAATAGCGTGAGACAGTATTTTGAAAACAGAAGCACTTGAGAAATATTTTCCATTTTTAAAATAGGATAACTATTTGCCAAATGTTTAAGTTGGGTGACTGCTACAATATTTAAATTTTTGTATGAAATTAGCAGTCTTTTGGCAAAAAAAATTACACAAGACAACTGCCAGATTAAAATACATACACTCAATCTGTCCTTTAACTCACCACTCATCCCCTCCTCCTCTGTTTTTCCCTTTTTCTTTCTTATTCCTTTAATCAGGGAAAAGAAGTGCCTTTTTTGTAATCAGAAATGGAAATAAATCCTGAATATGTGAAGACTGAGCAAAATGATTAAGCACAGACCATTCTGAGTTTATTAAAAGCATTCTGCTGTAATATTTTTAATCCAGAGAATATATTTCTTGTTGATAGAGAATCCAAAATAGCTGAGTAAGAACATATGTTCAAGTATCATCTTTTAATTGTTCACATTTGAATTGTTCATTTGCTAATATCTCAGTTATAACATCAGTTATAAGAGCATTGGAAGAAATAATTGTTATTTATTAAATCTAGTCCTTTATGAAAGCAATTCTAGGAGGGTATGAACAATTTGACCTTTCCCATCTCAGTATATTTTCCTGAAAAATAGGGTACCCATTCTTAAATGTACATACATAGAGCTATACATATATGAACATACCACATGCACACAGATTCACATACACACATATGTATTTAAATAAATTACAAATTAGTATCATACATACATTAGATGTTGTAAACTGCTTTTAAGTAGTGTATCCTGATGATTTTATCATGTCAGTGAATATTCTTTTGGATTGTTTTCAATGTTAATTTATTTTCAATTATGTAGATATGCCGTAATTTATTTAATTCATTTCTTCATAGTTATACTTTGATTGTTTGTAATGATTCCCTATTATGGAAATACAATGAACATATATATTACACTTTTCAGATTCTTTTCTTATGTGATTATTTACAAAGATTTTATTAGATAGAATGAAATAACATCCTAAATAACATCTATGAGAGTAACCAACTTCCCAACACATTCACAAATATTGGATATCACAATTATATTTTTAATCTATCAATTAGTTTAAAAATTATTTCAATAATGTTTTAATCTCTTTTTATTAAAAACTGGTGAGATTGACAGTGGTTTATTACATATACTTATTCTTCTTTTGGTTCATGTACTTTGCTCATTTTTCAGTTGGTACTCTCATCCTCATTAACTTTAAAGAACTATTTTGATGTAGATTTTACAGTTTTATTTATTCTGTTCTGTCAGTATGATGTCACATAACTTTCTTTAGGTCTGGAAACATTTCAGGCTTCATCATTTTCAGTATTCTTATTAATCTTGGACTATTCACTTTTCTTTAAATGCTATTGATGTAATTGGGCTTTTAATCTGCCTTCCATATCCTAACATACTTTTGATATTTTCTGTGGCCTTTTCTACGAAGTTAGAGTTCTTCCTTCCTATTTTTATAATGTTTTTGTGAAATTAATAGTTATTTGTTTACTTTGTCTCAAAATTTTCAAATTTTATTTTAATAATCTTGCTTAATAATATCCTATTCTCATTTAGGGGGCCTAGATTCTGCTTTATCTTGTAGAGAATTCTAAATATACTTTTTTTAAAGTTATTTTCAGATTGCTCAATTATTACTAATTTTTAGGTAGTCTGGTTGACTAGTGTTGATCATCCTGGTGATTCTAAATTACTCCCAAATTTTCAAACAAATAAACAATGGTTCAAAGAAGTTTAATAATTTGTTAAATGTCACACAGTGAATACATGGATAAGTTAAGAAAGGTGCAGATGGTCAAATTGCCTCAATTGTGTGATGATTTAATGAGATAATGCATAAAAAGTTTCTGACACATAGTGCATGTCCATAATTGTTGGATGGTGGCCTCTACATCCTACCATTCCTCTCAATCACAAACATCATTTTGCTTTACTGTAAAATGATGACTATGTTAATATGCAATTAATTACATAACTTCATTTTATCTCTGAAGACCTCATAGGTCTTTTCTCATACAGGTTACAGACTACACAGCTAAAAATGATGTTTTCTAGGAAATAGGGGATTATTCAAGTTAATAAGAATATTCTAAGTGAACAGTTAGAACAATCTTCCTGCAATCCTTGCCTACTATTATCATTGAAGACATATACTATGCCTCTATCTCAGTCCCTTGAATAGATGTTCATAAACTAAAACTTCCCCTGCAAAAAATTTTACTCTCTTCCAGATTTCTAAAATTGCAACAAATCATTTTTAGATGTGATTTTAATGAGGCATTGTTATAGAATAACATTTTTTAAAAAGAACTTTCTGCCATCCATATCCATAGAATTATTAGAGTTGCTTCTGCTGCAAAAAAACATAGCTGGATCTAGTTTAAATTTAATTGCAATTTGCGGGTTTGATAATAGCCTTATCAGAACAATACTAAAAGCTAGATCAACGTCATGTGAATTTTGCCATGTTTCAATATTTATTTTATCATATTGAATATATTCATTTTTTTCTACAAAGACCACTCGAAACTTCACATAGTGATCATTTTCTGACTTCCACATCTTTTGAGACTGCTGTAGCCCAACTGGAATGAGAGGGGGATCTGTAAAAGGAACTCCGCTCACATACCAGTTAGACAGCTGTCACCTGAGGTCTTTTTAGGGAGTCAGTGATATTGAAGAACTAACAAAGGCATGACTAACAGAAGTCATTTTCCCTGTTTGTACCTTCTTCTTAAAGTAAATGCTTTAACAACCACATATAATTATTGTTGTTCTTTTTGCTGTTAGGCTCTAGAGAGTTGTTTGAGAAAGTATAAGATCCTGTGTAAACAAATATTGGTCCACTTACTTGTTTATCAGTTGGAGCACTGATGCTGTTTTCTCATTTCATGTCTATAAATCATCATGAACAAAATAGTTTTGTGCTGTTGGCTATTTATTAAAGCTAAAAGATCAAGTTATTGATTGTGTGTATCTTATTTTACTTAGTTTGAAATCTACATGAACTTGAGAAAGTGGTAATATGATGAGCAGAGGTGAGTGTGAGGACCGATGGTGCATGAAGGAGTCTTATATGGAAAGATTAGAAGTTTCATTTGTATGTGGCAAATTTATGAACCATGCAAAGAAATTCTGAGGAGTCACTGGTAAATGTAATATCGATACACTCAGGCTTTTCGGTGTGAGGAACTCTTTACACGCTTAATAAAGTGACATAGTTCTTGAAGAAATGTCTGCCAAATGCTCAAATTTGAATAATCATAGTTTTCTGTCATCCATTCATTTAGGTATAAAAATGTGTTCCACAAAAAAAGTATCTACTACTATTGCTCACACCTCAATTAAACAAAGGTTTTTCTTTGAGACATCTATTGTATTTTGGTATGCGGCAAAGTGTTTTACATGGTTCCCGTTTTTTCAAACAGTATATTAAAAAGTCTATACTCAAGGTTTGAGATGTAGCAAAATTAATATGGTTTAATTGCATCATCAGGGACATCCTTAAAGGAAATGAATTCTTATTTTTCTGTGAATGTATGGTGATAAAGAAAACAGTATAGTGAGTATAGTGTTTGGCTAATGCCTTGAATTACACTGAAGCACCTGCAGTTCACCTACCATTGCATTTGTACTATCAGTGCACATGTCAACATAGTTGTTGCAGGATAAGCCATGAAAGTCAAAAAGGTTATTTAACACTTTAGCTATTTGCTCCTTTTATGTTTGTTATCAAACATTTACATAAAGAATCATATTCAGTGATTAGCTGGTGTTGAATAGAGTCCAGCCACATTTGGAGATTTACTCATTTGTAGTTACAATTCTGCAAGTGAGACAGTCTTCATGTTCATAGATGAATCTTTAATTCAATGAGTTACTGAATCATCAGAAAGTGGAACTTTGTAATTCTTTTTACTGACTCTTCATCAAGAAGGTATTCATTAATGTCAACTGTACGAAGCTTTTTTTTTTTTTAGTCTTTTAACTATTGTGTACAGGTCTCCAGCCAACACATTACAATAACTTAGTCTCTAAGAGTCTTTAGTTGTTCTTTTCTAGTTTGAAATGCTGTAGCAGGAGCTTATCATGTCTGTTTAAAATATTAAATTTTTTTCCTTAAATTATAAATGTTTGATTTCAATATTGCATCACATCATAACTGACACTATAACACTATTCAAAAATATTCTGTTGCATAAAACACAATAAGATGAAGTATTAGTATCTATAATCCCAAATGAAATAAAAATTTCATCATATTTTTATTTCTTATTTATAGTTTCACTAGTTTCTTTTGAATCATTTTCTCCCTCCTATGAGTTTGATATCTCTCTGATGTTAAAGTTTTGCCTTTTTCAGCATCTTTAGAGGTAGCTGGCGCAGTTACATGTTGATAAAGTGAGTCTTCTAATCTCCCTTGTGTTAAGTAAATGATCTATTATTCAACATAAGACAAATATATGGCAATATTTTATTTAAATAAAATATTTCAAAGTTCTAAAATAACTGTTTTAGATAAATTTAGAAAAAATTTAAATATACTGCAAAACAAGATAAAATACAATTAATAATTAATTATTGTGTTTCAACATAGGCATAAGGAAAACTTCAGGATTTCAAAATTATGATTTTTGAGGGGATTATATAAGAATACAGAGATTAGAAAAAGTATAACTAAGGCTAACTAGAAGATCAAAGTATAAGTACCAAGAACAAACCAAGTTAATCTCTGAAAATACACGTTATACCTTACCTACCTTACCTACCACCTTAGAAAAATTTTGAAGACATGAGAGCGTATGAGCACACATTCTATGCCATCAGAGCAATGATGTTATCATATATCAGCCTCTGAAACACTTCACCATACAGTCATGTGAGAATGAGCATGAAGAAGACAAATAACATCTTAGTAATACTATGAAAATAGTTTTGACCTTGAAGACCCCTGTAAAGGTCATGGGAATTTTGCTTTTGGAAATATTACTCTAAATAAATAGTTGAATAAAAATTAAGATTTTCTTTCTTATATTCATTTATTTTATCATATCTATTCTCCTCTACCCTCCATACCTAAATTGTATATTGCTTTAAAAATATAAAAATCTCATACCACAAGAGTGTTAAATATTCCCACACTGAGCTCAAGATAAGAACTAATTCAGTGATGCAAAATGAACATTTAGATATCCAAACACAAAGGACTGGAAACTGTATTTGACTTTTTCAGTTACTTTAAAAAAGTATGAATGAAAGTATTTGTTACATTCTTAAATGCAATTTAATGTTAACTACAAGTGATGCTTTTTCCAGATTAACACATCCTTAATCATAAAATATATATAGTACATAAAAACAAAACAAGAGTATAAAATAGTATTCATTTTATAGAAGTATGTTTTACAATCTATTTGCTAGAAAATATCTATTTTAAAAATGATAAATGATCTGGACTAGTTTTAATAAATCTTGAAAGAGAAAGAAAAAAGAAAGTGGCAAAAGACAAGAATGGGTACAAAAATTATGAAAAAGTAGGAACAAAATAAAGAGAAAGGAAAGAGAAGGATCCCTTAATAACTCATATATTTTTGTATGAAGATAACCTAGGTAAATATATTTCCCAAGAAGAAGAAATATATAACTACAAATATGTTTGTATATTGTAGTTTCTTACTAATCATACATTTAATAACACAAGCAAAAGATATGAGAAATTTGATAAGAAGTATGAGCCTCAGCAGAAGCTCATTAGACCAAGAGGGAAGAACTGAAAAACATTGCCTATTTTTCCTGAGAAAGTCTGTCCTGTAAGCTGTGGCATTAGAGCTTTGCTGTTTTTTCCATCACAGTTTTAGAGCAAAGGCCTAATTGCAGAGGTATCATGCTCTAAAACATCACAAACCGAGATAGCAGATTCCTTCATATTTCAGCGAACAAATGAGACCATATATTTTATTAGTTATAGACTCTTTCTACTGGACTTTCGAGGCTGGTGGCACTTCATGGCCATGGTCATTTTGCCTACCATGTGGAGAAAATGAGCCGGAAAAATAAAGTCCAGCACAGACAAGAAAAAATAAGCAGAGCAACCACAGGAATAAATGACAGAACTCTTGTCCTATCTGCTCTATCTCATACCAACCTCCATCTGCAACTTCCCATTTATGGGAGTTACTAAATTTTTACTTCAACTAAATGGGGTTTGGTTTCTGCCACTTGCAGTAAAAGAATTCAGACTAATACAATAATTCATCTTATTTATCTTCTATGGCAAACAACTTAATAGAGTTATAAAGCAAATTTAGTAGAAGATAATTTCCTTTCCTGGGTCATAAGTTTAATTAATACCTTTTTTATTTTTGTTGGATACCATTTTTGAAATCCTTGAACATAAAGTCCTATGCTATTTTTTAGGCTATTACAGCAATGGGGGAAGAAACTCGACAAGGAGCATGGTGACTTCTGCTAAAGTTGTTTCATTAAATCCCACAGGGAAAATGTGTTAAACATAAAGTATATATGTTTGTCCAAGAATAAATTCTTCTTTTCCTACTTAGAGATAAATATCCAAAAGACTAGGGTCCTAAATCCTATATGTTAGTCATAGAAGACAAATTTTTATGATTTTTTGACACATTTGTACTGCTAGACTTCACTAAAGCATATGAAGCACACATGTTACCCTGACAGCAAAGAAATGAAAATTATGCACTATATATATTTTTCAGTGGCATCTTTGTAGACCTTGCCAGTATCTGAACTGTTAGAACATGGTTGAATGTCAATTTTCTGCAGGAATTTTAAAGCAGGTTTATTATAGTGCTGAACATATCTGGTCATAAATTTTACCATGCAGAAAAAGCAAACTTTCTCCAAACATGAAATTTTATAAACACCCATTAATTGTTCAATATAGCATGGCTTTTGAATGCTAGACATTTTATTAATACTGATGTGACTTTTTAGAGGCTTTTCTCCCTAAGAAAAAAAATATAATAGATCCTTTATTTTTAACATTATGAGTTTCAGTGTAGAGTTTTGATAGTGACCTCTTCTGTCTATCAGACTACTTTAAGAAAACACTGTTAAAATAGCATTATAGTGTTTTAAGTGATTTCGAATCTTTTAAAAAGGAATCCGTTCAACGAAAACTGAGTCAGAATTATAATAAATACCGAAAATACCTTCACAGTTCTGTTATTTCATTCCATCCTGCTATCAACACTGCTCTCAGTTTGTCAAGGATGACATTTAAATCACGGGTAATTAAACAGTTCTCAGTTTTAAAATAAATTGGAGAGCCCATTGTTTTGAGGTTATTTACAAAACTTTTAAGATTTTGTATTGCTATTCAGACCTTCATTTTTAACAAATGAATTGATGCTCATATTTTTTTAAAAAGCATGAATACCCAAAAGGAAAGCTCACTTCACCAACATGGGATTTTGGTGAATATATTTTACTTACCTACCTATATACACATACATTCATTCACACACAATTATAAAAATGAGATATTTCTATGACAGAAAGTTGAAAATAAATGTGACACAAATAGAATTGAATTTTAGTTTTATTCATGCAAGTCCAGTAAGGCACCATTCCTCAAAGTGTTAGCACAAATGTCCTTCTAGCTCATCGTTCATCCAAGCTTAAGATATGACTTTTGTCCTCATAGGCCAAAATGAGCTATCACATCAACTTTCCAGGAAGTAGGATGCAGCACTGACCACTAAAAATAAAATGAGAGCCACATCTCTATGTTTTTGGTTTGATTTCCTTTTCTTTTCTTTTCTCTTTGAGACAGGGTCTTGCTCTTTTGCCCAGACTGGAGTGGGGTGGTGTAATCACAGCTCACTGCAGCCTTGAACTCCTGGGCTCAAGTGATCCTCCTGCCCCAGCCTCCCGAGTAGCTGGGACCACAGGCATGCACCACCACATCCAGCTAATTTTTGTAATTTTAGTAGAGATGGGGTTTTCCCATGTTGCCCAGGCTGGTCTCAGACTCCTAGTCTCAAGTGATCCGCCCACCTCGGCCTCCCAAAGTGCCAGAATTACAGGTATGAACCACTGTGCCTGGCCATTATATAATGTTATACATATATAATGTTAAGTGTTAACTAGCCTACATTAAAAACTAACAACTAAAATTATGTTAATATATAATTTCAACGTGTAATCGTTATAAAAAGTTATACATGATATTTTTTATTTTCTTTTTTTCATACCAAGTCTTTGAAATTTGGTATGTATTTTCTACTTTCAGTATATCTCAATTTAACCCCATATCAACTGTTCAACTGTGCCTCCTGGTTGCCACACAGGACACTTTCTTTCCAGGACTGGGAGAAATACAGGGATGTTATCTCTCATCACCTTTAAGCAATATTGTATAGGAAGTCTTAGCTAGTAAGATAGATAAGTAAAGGAAATAAACATTTTAAAGATTAGGAATAAAGAATGAAACAGTCTTTATTCATAGATGACATCATGTATATGTAGAAAATTCCAAAGAATTGACCCAAAAATCCCTCTTGTAACTAATAAGTGAGTATAGCAAGATCACAGGATACAAGGTTAATATACGTAATTAAATTGCTATTGTATATATCAGCAGTGAGCAATTGGAATGTAAAATAAGTGATTTAGTCTTTATCCTGAAGGAAGGGATGAAAGCTTAGTAATGACATGTCTCAGAGTAAAAAATTCTGTTTCAGTCACCAAACGCGGCGGCTCACACTTATAATCCCAGCACTTTGGGAGGCTGATGTGCCACCCAGGCTGGAGTGCAGTGGCAGGCTCATGGCTCACTGCAGCCTCAATCCCTCAATTGAGCTATGCACCTGCCACTGCATTTCAGCCTGGATGACAAAGGAAGACCCTGTCTCAAAAAAAAAAAAATTATTTTAATATTCTCAGGTACATAGTGGGAAAATTTGAATCTTCATATTGTATTCTTATTTAATACATGTTTTAACTCTAATTTGAAATATTAATTTGGTTCCATTGGTTGTTTTTCTGCTTCAGATACAACAAATCTTATGCTGGATCTTCTTTGCTATCTTCTACATCTATTACCTTCTCACTGATTCTGTTTAGTAGTATTATTATTATTAGTGCTACTATTTTATTTTCTTGTGGTTTCTCATTTATTCTCTGTGTATTTCTCACTGTATTTTCATTTGTATTATTCTTTTGTAGGTAACTAATAATTCTGTCATTTCTGAGCTACATTCTGAGATATTCTTTTAGATCAGTTAGTTACATTTTATATCATTTCACTTTGTTCATTTGCTTTCACTTTTAAAATTTCTGATTCACCTGGTTATGTCACATTTGCAATTTTTTGTTTAATTTTCCTTAATTTCAACCTTAGTTTTCTGTTTTGCTTTTCCTCTGCTTCTTGACCTGCCTTAACTGATGTGTTTCACCTGGCAAAGAGCTTTTTTTAAATTTATTTTCAGAGTATCTTTATGTGGCGTCTGGGTTTTGCTTTGATGGGTTTTACTTTTCTTTGTCAGATTTGTTTGGTGTGGATTTTCCTGTACCAGCAATTGCAGCATATACTTTTGAGGAACTGACACTGAGGAGGTGGTTTTCTTGGTGGTTGATTTAAAGGACTCCTTCCTCTACTATGTCTATAAATGACAGCTTTGTGTGTGTGTATTCGTTTGTTTGTTTTAAATACGTGACACTTTATTTTGTTTAACATCTTCTAATTCTTTGTTTTTGTCTTGTCTCAATAGAACTATCCTCTTCAGTTGTCCTTTTATTTTCTTTCACCCTTCAAGACACTAAGGACCCCTTCATTTTCATAGGTGTCTTTATTCCATGGAAGCACTGACTTTTCAGGGCCACTATCTCTGGTCCCATGCATTTCCCAAGCCCTCTACTTCTGACCGGCATCTGGAGCTAATTTTTCTGGTCTTGAGTGTGTATGTCCCTTATTTACAAATAACTTAGAGGAAAATTGGGGGATGTTAGAATCTAAAAAGCCACTATGTTATTCTACCTGAGCTTATAAACTTCTGCTCATTTATCACTGAATAGTGCAACATGGACATCCCTCCAAAGAAAATCTTTTTAGCCTTATTAATTCTAGGTAATGTCTATACAACATTTTATACCATGGATATACCACAATTCATTTTGGTTCTGCTAAAGGTTCTTTGTTATATAAATGAATACATGCTGGTATATTTAAGCAGAAACTGAATTTACTAAAAGTCAGTAGGTAAAGTGATTATACAGTTGGGTCATTCCTGTTTTTAAGGTTGTTGTCTTGAGGATAATGCACAATGCCATCCTATTTTCACTCTTGAAACAGTCCTGGTGGATGATATAGTCATCTAGTTAATGGCTCACACAATAATCAGGGAGCTTGAAAAAGATATTTGAGCCTTCTAGGAACAGAAGTTTCTAGGAACAGAAGCTTCTAGGAACAGAAGATATTTGAGCTTCTAGGAACAACACCCAAAACCATTCCGCAGAACTGGCCTGATGATGAGGCTGCTACCGCTGGTACACTCAACACCAAGTTTGAAAAGTCACAGTCCTCACATGACTGCAACAGCCACTGCCATCCATGCCATTTCTGCCCCAGGAACTCCACCATGCATCTACTAACACCGCTGAAAAGAGGACACTACCAAAAACATAGGAACCTCCTCGAAAGAACAGTTTCTTCATATTTCTCAATTCTGATATAGTCTCAGGTGAGTGTATCTGCCTCTCCAGCTTACAAAGCACAGCCTCCCTTGAAACTAGTATGCAAACAATTGTTCTGAGCTCTGCCAGTTATACATGCCCACAGATACAAGAAGTCTATCGTTTCATTTATGGTTCCTCAGTTTCCTAGCTAGATTAGAAATGCCCCCTCTTAGTTGAACATATAGCTTCCTAAAGCCCCCAATGTTATGTATGTATGTATTTATTTATTGAAGGGCTGTACACATTTTCAATGTGAGTTCCTTAATTCTTTGAGGTGTCACACATTAATATATCATTTCACTGATCATATACTTGAAATTTATGAAATATATAGTATATCAAAGAGAAAAATTCAATAATCCGAAGTCCAAGTATCACTGTTCAATAGTAGTTGATAAATTGTATGTCAATGCAACAAGTGTAAGAATTAGTGAATGTTGGCTGGGTGCAGTGGCTCATGCCTGTAATCCCAGCACTTTGGGAGGCCTGGACGAGGCAGGTAGATCACGAGGTCAGGAGATCAAGACCATCCTGGCTAACACGGTGAAACCCTGTCTCTACTAAAAATACAAAAAAAATTAGCCAGGCGTGGTGGCGGGCACCTGTAGTCCCAGCTACTGGGGAGGCTGAGGCAGGAGAATGGCGTGAACCCGGGAGGCGGAGCTTGCAGCGAGCAGAGATTGCACCACTGCACTCCAGCCAGGGCGACAGAGCAAGACTCCGTCTCAAAAAAAAAAAAAAGAATCAGTGAATGTTGAAGATATTGAATTCATATAAGTGAGGCAAACATAATATGACTGTAAGATGGAAAGACAAGGAAAATATAACTCTTTGCGTTATAAAATGATGTCACGTGTAAAGGAGATAGATTGTCCTCTATAAAAAGATATTCAAATCTAAGAGTAGATTATACTTCCATCGAAAAGGCTTAATTTTAAAAATATAAGAAAAAAACATAAAATAGCATCTTATTCATTAACTAATTTTATACTATCATCCATAAGGACATTTTATCAGTCCATCGCTAGGACAAAGAGCTCAAGTAATAGCACAGTTTTGCTTTTATATCACATTCCATTCAGTTACACATTTCTAAAACTAAATAAGCATATCTTTGAATTTACTATTAACCTAATTCAGAATAAATAAAATGTTCATACGCTGGGCATGGTGGCTCTTGCCTGTAATACCAGCACTTTGGGAGGCCGAGGCAGTTGAATCACCTGAGCTTGGGAGTTTGGGACCAAACTGGGAAACATAGTGAAACCCCATCTCTACCAAAACTACAAAAAAGTTAGCTGGGCATGGTGGTCTGCACCTGTGGTATACCAGCTACTCGGGAGGCTGAGGTGAAAGGATCGCATGAACATGGGAGACAGAAGTTGCAGTGAGCTGAGATCACACCACTGCACTCCAATCTGTGTGACTAAGTGAGATCCCGTCTCAAAAATAAAAATAAGAATAAATAATTTTTAAAAATTTATGTAACAAAAATGGTGTATGATCAAAACCCTTATTTGTGATATAAATACTTATATTTACATCCAACCCAAGTATGTTAAGTAGCACAATTATTACACTGACAGAATGATTCTAGGATGTAACCATAAAGCGACACTAATTTTGTTTCCACCATACTTTCACATTTTCTCATTAAGGGTGGTCCTCCCACCTTGGCTGGATAGAATCCTAGGTAGGCCCCATGACTTTTCTTATCATGCTTATGTAATTAAAGTTCTATAGTCACAGTTTATTAATTAAACCAAAACACAGTTCAGTATTTACAATTTCCAGCATTCTGTACAAATCAAACCTCTGTACCCACCTGTCAGTTGTGGCTTTCTCCTCCTTTCCTACCCCCAAACTCAGGCCTGCTGCCAGCAACACTCAGGGAAGAAGATGGCTGGTTTAGTTGCTTCTCTCTTTCCTCATCTATGGACTGATCCTCCTCTCTCATTCAGTTAATCCTTTCAGGGTTGGAGGCGTGGCAAGGGCAGCAAATAAAAATAAAGGACAGGCCGGGTGTGGTGGCTCAAGCCTGTAATCCCAGCACTTTGGGAGGCTGAGGCGGGCAGAGCATTTGAGGTCAGGAGTTCAAGACCAGCCTGACCAAGATGGTGAAACCCGTCTCTACTAAAATACAAAAATTAGCTGGGCGTGGTGGCAGGCGCCTGTAATCTCTGCTACTCCAGAGGCTGAGGAGGGAGAATTTCTTGAATCCAGTAGGCGGAGTTTGTAGTGAGCCAAGATTGTGACACTGCTCTCCAGCCTGGGAGACAGATCAAGACTCCCTCTCGAAAAATTAAAATTAAATTAAAAAATAAAAATAAAAGACAGTGTGAAAGTTCTTACTCCATTGGTACTCTGCCCTTTCTGAATTGGGCAGGATTTTAAAGCTGACTCTCATGGGGCATCAGTGGAGTTCCTTCGCCGTTGCTTCATCCACAGTTCCCTTAAGTAAAGAAATGTAACTCCACTCTGACCGTCCTCACTAGAAGCCCTGTGCTATCTGGAAGTCTACCTCCAGCTTTCTTCCCCTGAAGTGCCTAGCCCCTCTTGGTTGTGCTCTTAGACAGCTCCCTTTCAAGAATGGCCCTTTTGTCAGAGGGAAAAACCAATCTTCCTTTTCCCCAGAAGCTCTAAGGATCCAGTTATTTCTCAAAACACAGTTTTTGACTCAGCTACCACAGTTCAAGGCAGCCAGCATCTAACCCATTAGGTTCCTTTGGCATGATTTTGCAGAAACCAGTCTACTGTGTTTCTGCAAAGGGTAGGTTGAGACTCAGAATAACTCTAAAGAACCTAAGTCTCTTTTTTAGATTCTGTCCCCAATTGCCTATGTTTACACTCTGGAATGGGTGAGAGATCTACATGTTTTCTATTAACTCTGGAATTCTTTGAAATTATTTACATTTTAGTCTTTGAAATTATTGACATTTTGGGCTATCACCTCACTTTGCAATGTAGTTGAGCTAAAAACTTTCATTTAAACATCGGGTTTCATAAAGGTCACTCTGGGGGTGTCACAAGTGCTTCTACTTGAAAATTCTTCTGCCCTTCCTCTCCTCCTTCCCCTGTGACTCCTATAATAATTGATAATGTTCTTTAACAAGAGTATGAAAAATATCTGTAGTCTCACTACTAGCATATTCATTTTTGAATATTCCCTTTGAGTTTTTTCCCAGATGCACACATGTTACATTATTTGAATTCATAATATGTCTTCTAACTATTTTTACCTAAGATTATAAAAAGTATTCAATATAATCATAATTTTAAAAACAAATGAATATTCTATAAGATTCTTCTTAGAATTTGAAGAATAGTTAAATAAACTTTATTTCTTCTAACAAATGTTTGCTAAAACCAGTGTTAGAAATTTTATGCATATAGCTTTGTGTTTTATATTGGCAGTATACTACTAAGTGATATATCTTTTAAAAAATCCAATGAGATTATTCAAAGCAGATGTCTTTTGCACAGGACTGCTGTGCAGTGAGGCACATGAATATCCAACACAACCCAGGAAAAATTGCAGTGCTCTGCCTGCCTCTGCCTTCTTGATCCTGATGACACCCAGGCCTGCAGCAAAAATCTCTGAGTATCGAAAGGCAAAGTCAGACAGAACAATGACACCAATACTGCATTATTCATCCATTCATATGCTCAGGCAGCTTGCATTTATTGAGTACCTTTGTATACAGCATTGAGCCAGCAGCTGTGAGAATCGCAAAGAAAAATAAAATGTGGATGTGTCCTCAGATTTTATTCTGGTAGAAAAGATGTCATAGACAAAAGTCATAGTATTTTGTACACAAATTAATATTTTACTGACTGTTATGGATTATTAATACATAATGGTAATTTACATTACTTCATTTAATCTTCTCAGTAACCTTGAAAGTAGGCATAAGTAACCTAATTTCAGATGAAGAAACTGAATCTTAGAGAGGTTAAGTATTTACACAAGACCAGACAGCTAAATGGCAGAGATAGTATTCAGCCTCCAACATGGCTCCAAACCACCCATTATGGCTTGGCCTTGTGTACAAAGTGTTCTGTGCTTAAGAGAGATTCAAGAAAAGGGTTATTAGTTTTCAGAGAAGATAGTATGATATACAGAGACCATAGAAATATTTTGTAAAGATAAAGAAGGTTGCATAACCAGATAGTTCACAGGTAAATTATTTCTGTTAAGGAAAAGGGCAATTGAGATTGAATTATCCAATTGATTTTCTAGATGAATCCAATTTTCTTTGGTTAGTTCTATGTGTCTAAAGCCTCAGAGAAAAATTTCATGCATTCTATCACCCTAGCCAGTCTATGTAGCTTCCCCCAGTTTTAGCCAAGCCAGTGTCCTTATGAGTCACAGTGAGAAGAACCAAGTGAAATTTTTAACAGGTGAACTTCTACTGGCGTCAAGTAAACACAATTCAGAGACATGCAATGCTTTGGTAGGGCAGTGAGTGGGCCCATTCAGGAGATTTTCAGTCGTCTATTTATTGAAATTAGTCTTTTTTATGTTAATCTAGACCAAACAAAGAATTTTTGTAAAATAATTTTTAACCAATAAGTGCTCCAGTTTTATAATAAAGACAACTCTGCTTGCTAATTATGCTTCTACCATGGTTATAGTAACATGAAAACTATCACCATTCTGTCACTATCATGATATTTCATCTCTGTATCTATGTAATCCACTTTCATTACGGTCTCTACTCTTTATGCTATATATTTTTAACTGAAAATATTTGACAGTACATAGTTTTCTATACATAATAGTGTCTTCAGGAAAAAAGAAGAATATTAATTTTAATTCATTCTGCATATACAGATAATGAAATAGATTACACTAGTAATACTTTCTTAGTGATTTGTGTAACAACCAGATTGTGCAAGGTTGAAGGGAAGAGTCAACACCATCATAATCACCATAGTCATCAACAAAGACCCTCTAGTGAGCCTTGCTCTGTGGTGGCAGTGTACATGGAGCTAAATAGTATATTGCTTTAAGTTTATCATATAGCTTCAATTATTCTCTGGCATTTTATTGTGTTACCTTTTTTACTTTTTAGAATAGTCAGTGGTAAATATATTTAAGCTGGTAGAAGCTACCTACATTTGGTGAAAGCTCTTCAGAGGATTATTTAAGATTTATTTTAATTCTACATAAACCTTTTAATTTTAATGGCATAATTAAGTGAATAAAAGTGTTTAAACTTTAAGGTTGGATAATTATTTTTTAAAATGGCTGATATAGCCACGATAGAGTATGTATAAACTTATGCATCGTAGAAGAAAAATACTCTCAGATAAAAATGTCCCCATGGTACTCACATTTGAAAGTACATGAATTAAATATGCTTCCCTCATCTCTGGTGGTACATGGAATTTTTATGTCTTAACTAGGCTTTTGTATTTATTTTATGTAAAAATACTAGTATGCCACTAAAATTTTTATTTTTCTGTAAATGTCATAGCATAAGATATAAAAAAAGCATTGCCTTCACTTATAATGCTCCAGTGTAATTTATCCCACAATTGCCTCTAAATTCTATTGAATATAATATCCATACCTTCCTCTTCTTATGAACTGCAAAGATATTTACTTCACTTGTATTTAATTTTTCTCTTCTGAATTTCAACTGCTTCTTTATTTCTATTACTTTAACATATATCCCCTCATTTTTCTAACATACTGAACTCTAGTATATTTTTATAATCCAGCTTTCTAAGGTTGAAGGTGTCAAAAATTGTTACCTAGTTAGATAGGCCTAAATTAATTAGATTTAGTCTGAAAATTATTTGAATTATAACACAAATGATTAACTGTTTAGGCTCTGGGTTTAGATTTCCTAGTTCCACTATTTCTTACCTGTGTGCCAGTGGGCAAGTTATTTAAACTCTTAATGGCTTAGTATTCTAATCTATAGAGTAGGGAAAATAATGGTATCCATGTCATTGGGTTGTTGTGAAGGCTAATGAAATCATCCACGTAAGCGCTTAGACCAATATCTGGCACAAAGCACGCATGTAATAAAGTTAAATATATTGTTGTTGTTGTTGTTATAATCATTATTACTGCAAATTATTATTATAATTATTAAACTAATTAAATTTGAAAAATATATTTTGAAAAACTCACAAGACAAAATATGGGCCCAGACACTGCAGTTATGAAAGTGACTAATGTATGGCCACTTTTGAGGAAAAGCAAGAAACCCTAGAGAATAATATATAATAATCTAATAAAGGGATGAGACAAATGTAAAAAAAAATGCTTTAAACTATTCCAGTTTAGCTTTATGTTCGAATCCAAGGACACCAGGTTTGTAAGATTAGAGCAATAACCAAAATTTGAACTCTGGCCCAAATTTCATGGAATATCGTATTCTTTAATTTTCTGTCACTCGTAATTTAAAATTTTAATTTACATTTTTCACTTTTTTATTTTGTGGATTTTCACATTGTAATTAATTTTGGGCTTGAGTTTATAGCTTATTCTTAATATAGGTCCTATTAATTGCTCAAATTATTTAATATGATATCTGGTTTATCTATTTTCACATTGAAATGAAACCATATATAATTAAAATTTTTAAATGTCTCAATTAATTATGACAGGGTCATAATTTCCCTATTACAAAATCATATTTTTATTAAATCAATTTTTCCCAAATTATATTTAATAGAATAGTGGATTCTGGAACATTAATATATCAAGAATAAATTTTTGTGATTCACACCTGTAATCCAAGTATTTTCTCATGCTGCTATAAAGAAATACCTGAGAATGGGTAATTTATAAAGGAAAGAGGTTTAATTGACTCAAAGTTCCTCAGGGCTGGGGAGGCCTCAGGGAACTTACAATCATGGGGGAAGGTGGGGCAAACACATCCTTCTTCACATCCAGCAAGAAGAAGTGCCAAGCAAAAGGGGAAAAGCCCCTTATAAAACCATCAGATCTTGTGAGAACGCACTCACTATCGCAAGCACAGCATGGGGGAAACTGCCTCTGTGATTCAATTACCTCCCACTGGGTCCCTCCCAGGATATGTGCGGATTATGGGAATTTCAATTCAAGATGAGATTTGGGTAGGGACACAGCCAAACCTTACCAGGAGGCCAAAGTGGAAAAAAATCTCTTGATGCCGGGAATTCAAGACCAGCCTGGTACACATAGTGAGACTCTGTCTCTCCAGAAACATTTAGCTGGGTGTGGTGGTGCACACCTGTATTCCCACCTACTCAGGAGGCTGAGGCAGGAAGATAGCTTAAAGCCAGGAGGTTAAGGCTGCAGTAAGCCATCATAGCACCACTGCACTCCAGCCTGGGTCACAGAGCAAGACCTTGTCTCTAAAATAAATAAACAAATAAATGTAAATGTAAAAATAAGCTTTTAAAATTCTTCATAGCACTGGTCTTTAAGTTTGTGTTATTCAGTCATGAAATAATCCACATGTGTCTCCCAGTAAACTGTAAGTTTCATCAAGGTATAGACAGTCATTATTTTTCTTAGTGCTGTATCTGCTGTCTTTCAAAAACTGCCCGGCACAAAGTATATGGACACATAGGGGTTACATTATGTGGCATTTCCCTAAACTCATGTGCTCTTAGGCCTTTTGCATGGGGACTCATTTTGCTGAAGTAGTATTCTTTGGAACATACTTTGGAAAACACTTTGTGCTGAATCTTTCCTCAAGGTCTACTTTCCATCCTTTTCTTCTCACAATGGTGCCCCAGGATGCTGATCTGTACAGACTGCCTTGAAAAGCTCCCTTTCCCTCTGCTGGTTGGATTCAGTCACACAGAGGCAATAACAGGAGATCTAGAGGAAAGGAGGAGGATGGGTGCGTGGAGACATTTACTCCCCAGGTCCCTCCTCTCTGGGCATTGTGGTTTGGCTGCATCTCTGCTGAAGGCCACAGCTACCATGGAGTTACCCCCTCCAAGCTATCCTCTCTCTATATAGGTAAAGTTCCCTTCCCCTTATCCCATCAGAGTAGCTTTTGGTAAAGGCCTCCTAGGTCCTCGTGCCTCCTTTTCCTTTCTTTTCTTTTTTTTTTTGACACAGTTTCACTGTGTTACCCAGGCTGGTGTGCACTGGAGCAATCTAAGCTGACTGCAACCTCTGCCTCCCGGGTTCAAGCGATTCTCATGTCTCAGCCTCCCAAGCAGTCGGGACTACGGGCAGGCACCACCAGGCCTGGCTAATTTTTTGTATTTTTAGTAGAGACGGAGTTTCACCATGTTGGCCAGGCTGGTCTTAAATGCCTGGCCTCAAGTGTCCCTCCCGCCTCGGCCTCCCAAAAGTGCTGAAACTACAGGCGTGAGCCACTGCGCCTGGCTCCCATCCCTCCTTTTCAAGCCTCAGGTTACTGAACTATTGCTTGTTGGTTTTTCAAAATTTTATCCACACGTTTTAAATAGTCCTTTTATTAAAATTTCTTCAACTGCTTAGTTTGAGGATACTATCTGTTGCCAAGCCCCCGCCCCTTTCATAGTGATCTAGAATCCCATTATATCCTTAGCCTTTTAAATGAATGGGTATTTAGATTTGTCTCAAGATTTATTCTCCTATAAGTCTGCTTGGGAGTGGTTTTAGAGGTCCAAGACTGGGCAACATGAAGTCATTGCAGCCTATGTATAAAAGGTTATACAGATCACAAACACTGACTTGATTTTGGGGGAGATAACCCATATATTTTAATAAACCCTTAGAAACAAGTGACTACATGATCATGCCCTGGTGATTACAATCTCTGCTCTTTAGCACTTTTCTCTGTACTGAAAGTTAATATACGTATAAATAGACACAGGGGTGTTGGTGGGATCTCTATATTACTGAGTCATTTGGAGCTTTCCCCTTATCACATCTGTCTAAATAAAGCTATAAGACCTACATTAAAGTAGAAATGAATTGTGTCCTATGAAATTAGTCAATGGAGCATCCTGACTAGAGACTCTAGAATGTAAAATAGACTTCCTGTGTTAGAACTATGGAAATATTGTAGCTCCTCCTAACTTTTATAATTTCCAGACACATTTGCCACCTAAATAGTTGCCTGAGTTATAGGAAACATATACATTCTACAAAAAGTCCTAACAAATGTATGGTCAGGAGCTACACAAATTGGAATTTGTCCTTTCTGCTTTCAGGCACCAGGTATTGATCTGTCTGTCATAATGTTGGCTATGAATTTTTGTTTATGTTGTTTTTGATACATGTGTGTAAACACCTCACTATATATATTACCTTGTGGTCACAGCATCCATTCACTGAAATAACACTGTTCTCAAAATGGCAAACAAGTAGCACTTTTAGAATTTTCTTTTATACATGTGTATTTATTGTCTTTTATAATTTTTACTGTATATATCTAAGGTGTACAACACGTTTTGATATGTACATAGGGCAATGATTACTACAATCAATGAGCTATGAGTTTTAGAGAAACTGAGTTCTTCTCAGTGAGTTCCTCTTTGCAACTATTGATCTGCCTCCCTTTGGCTTCATTTGTTCTGTGACACTTCACAGAATATTTATCCCTTTCCTCAGGTGGTGTCACCTTCCTCTCAGATGGGAAGCTTTGCAGACTATCCCACTTCCCCAGGCTATACTTACCAGGATGTAACCATTGTAACCTTTTTAAGTTGTCAACACAGTATTCAAGAACCTGAGCATGAGCAACTAAGTCTTTCTCACTTGGTCCCCAGAAGGGACTTGAAGACCTCATGAAAGTTAGGTTAACTGAATATGGTATTAATATTGCCAGTTTCTAAAAGCAGATGTGACTTAATGGAGATATGAGTGCATCAGCAGAAATATACTCTTCCTATCCCCAAAGAATTCTTTCTTATTTTGACTTAAGAATATATCTTACTAGGTTTTCATTAGTTGTGCATATAAACTACTTTCCTTCTGAAAAAATCCATTTCGTTTCTATTCGCATGCCCTAATACACATTTCACAAAAATTTATGGATTTCTTTTATGTATAGTTACCTGCTAGAGACAAAGGGTGAAAAATACTCATATAATTGTGGCCTTCACAAGGGAAGTTCCACATTATTGATTTAGATAGATATAGATTCTATGTTCTAGAAAAACTTATATATTGTATAATACAGAATATTTCCTATACTTAATTTATGGACATTAGTTGTTTATATTTCTCTTCATCAACTAATCTACAAATGGCTTGACACTAGAAAGTCTGTATTATTTATTGTGGGATCCCGAGTGTAGCACACAAGCTCCTGCTCATAGTGTAGAAGTATGTGTAGAATAAATTATTTCCTTAAAGGTAAAGACAAGGCACTATGTTTTATATGTTATTATTGCCTCAAAATTTATTAAATACTAAATACATTGTATACATAATTATATTGTACATAATTGAGTACTTCAGGGGAACAGAAATGTTTAAACTGAATTGGCAAAATGGTTGATTTTCCAATCAGGTTACAAAAAAAAAAAAAAACTACATTCTAGCAAATGATTGGGACCTCATAGCAGCATTTCTCAGATGTGGCTTCCATACACCTACATCTGCACTCTTAAGCACATGAGCACACTACAGTTTGAGAATCACAGCCACTCTCAATTATTTAATAATTAAATTAGAATAGTGATAATAATTATAATAATGATAGAAAAGTATAATGGTTTCTTGGCTGTTGTCATGGTAATTACCAATGCTAACAAGGAAACAGGACTGTGTAACTAGATTGATGATTAAATGCTATAAGGAAGCCATTCAAGGCTTTGTATGGCAAAACGATAAAACGTTTCAGAACTGAGGCGAGAAAAAGATGAGATCTAGTTCAAGTAAAATTCAGACTGCCTTAGAAGAATGCATTCTCTTTCACCATGAGTGGGAAAATGGAGCATTAGATTAAACAGTGATGGTTATAATTTTTAAAAGTAAGGAAAATATTTGTATAATGTTATACACTTGTTTTTGTCTCATCACTTCTACAATACGTTTTGCCATAACACTTATAGTTTTCTAATCTATTTTAATAGGGAAAAATCTTTGTTTAGAAAAGCATTTTTTTAGCACAAATGTGACTTTCAATAAATGAAGCCTTGGGCAGCATAGTAACTTTGTACATAGCATGTATCCAATAATTCTCACTTTTTTGAGAATAGTAAAATTTTGAACCTAACAACCAAGATGAAGGTATTTTTGGACACATTCATCAGACTTAAAGAAATGAAATTGTAACAGTAGGCCGTCTAGAAGCTGTAGCAGAAAACCCAAGTCTGAAAACTGTTGGTGGTTTCACAATTGATGAAAAACTATGCACATAGGACTTCAAATTCATTCATTTGGTCATTAGAGTATGACTGGGTACGATTACATTCCAAGATTCCAAAGTTTTTGTTTTATTTTTATTTTTTTAGATAGCCTACCATTTTTACTGAGGAAAAGTAATATTATGCAGAAGTTCAGTATATGAAAGATGAAAGGGAAGCTGTTCTGGGTGAAGCAGAGAAGTCAGTCTCTAGAGGCTTTCCAGATTCACCTCCCTCAGTGCCCTTAGGCGGCTCTGCAGGGGCCAAGGACTCACCAGAATCCAATTTAAAAACCGCTGAAAGAGAATATCAAGGATTTACATGACCCTGAGAAAAATGTTTTATTTGTCATTCTTAGTTTGCAGGAATCCTATAAGCATCAGCAAATATTTGCTTTCCCCCAAAATAATAATTGATGTTTCCTATTTCCTTAAATAATCTTAGTTATCTTATTATCAAAATACTGGCCTCAGAAACTCACAGGAAGAAAAACTTTACATTTTTAAACGTTCCTTTAGAAAGCCACATGATCCTAGACCAGGGCTTCAGTGGGAGGCCAGGCAAAGCTCTTGGTTCCCCAGCTGAGCCTCAAGATTTTTCCAAGTTCAGGTACTTTACTCGGTTACATGACAGTAGTTTAGGAACTCTCTTTGTGGGAGGCATTGCTTCACGGACCTGACAGGATGGATAGGGAATGGCCCTTGTGCCTGATCCATAACAGTCATTGCCTGTTACACACATTTCAAGATTCATTCTGGCTATGAAGATAATCGAGACAGTCGACAGTTACCCCGCAGCTGCATGGATTTATGATGGCACTGTCAAGAAAATGAGCCAAAATGACACAGTAGCTGGCTTTAGCTGCAAATAATGTGATAGGCTGTAGAGTGGTGGTGTAGCAGCTGCTGTCATTGCAGGTAATAGGCAATAAAGAAGCCTGATAGCAATACCTGTCATTTCTTAATGGCTGACTTCACTGAAGAGCTTTTGTGGCCTTTAACATGGAGATAATAGAAGATACAACAAATTTTACAGCTTTCACATTGCATTCATAATTTATCTTGAGAGTACTACCCCAACAAGGACAACAGTTGTCAGCCTGAGAAAGTACAGAACTGTCTTTGAATTGTGAGGGATTGTCTATTATTATCAAGAATGGAATTCAAGCACAGAAAATGCTCTGTGCTCTTGGGCTATGATTTCTGTCCAAATGTGTTTAGTTTATTGTAAATCTACTCTGGCGAATATTTTGGATGGTGTACCTCACTGAGTGATTTAATCCCTCTACCAGGAAAAAGCATGTACATTTTTTTAATAATATGGAAGCTTTGTACAGAGTAGAGTTTTCCGTAGGATGAGCTATAAACCAATGAAAAATGGCCTGCCTGCTTTCTGAAACTACGTTACATTAGTTGGGGGCAAAAAGACAAGTTCTAAAATATAGTGCATCTAATTTTCAAATGAATATAGAAACACCCATTGATTTTATGCGGATTTTTAAATATCAAGTTTGATGGCAGAAATCGTTGGTAAAAGCAAGGTAAAAGTGGCTGGATGAGTATCGTATTTGCATATGTGTCTCATTCTGCTTTTAATGTCTACTTTTTGTCATAAAGAGGTAAAGCTTTTATTTATTTATTTTCCAAAGAGTTAATAGCACTAGACTATGGGGAATATAAATTTATTAAAGTTGATTTGGATGAACTCTTTGTATTATCTCTTCTCTATTTTGGCACCCAGAATATTATAACACATTTTCACACTGAGTACTATCTCACACTCCTTTGCAGGATAAAAACATGCAATTGATGGGCTGTTTTTGGCAAAAATATTTATAACGGAGTACAATAGTGATGTGTGATTTACACATCTCTTTATTATACTTTTTAAAAAGCATTTTTAAAAGCAAGAAAAAAATAGCCTGAGAACTGTGAGTCTACTAGGTGATATAAGATATGAGCACAAAAAAATTGTAATCCAAATCAGAATATGATGAATGTGTAACAGGCACATTATAGAAGTATAGCACTGGACTCAATCAAAAAGCAATCTTACTTGATTACTTAAAAAGTAAAATATATACACTCTGGGTAAACTTTCCCTGTTCCTAAATAAAACCTTGGTCAAGTCCCATACAGTCTTTTCTCATAGTTAGGTTATAATCTCTTTTTTTTGGTAGCTGCAATTTTCAAATACAATATACATCTATTTCAAAAATTGGAAATCCAGTCCTGAATAATAATGCAAATTCACAACATGATTTAGCAGTTGATTTACTAATCCTCTCTCCTCAAGCCGCTAGCAATGGGATAGAATATAGTCCTTCTTTCATTCCATACTTATTATGAGCTGATAATTTAGGTTTCTGACTCCCCAGTGTTAAGCTTATAAAATATGGGACATAAGGGAAGTACTTGTTCTGAACAAAGTAGGTGGCAAATTAAAGCTGACCCTTGTGGAGGCTTTCAGCTGTTCCTCAAAAAGTTCTATTTGGAGTTCTGATTACTTACGGTGTACCTCACTTTTCCAGATGTTGTTTGTACCTCTTTCCACAGTCTAAAAATTGCTCTTGGGGTCATTCTGTTCCTCTAGGTAGTGCTATCATACAGAATCCCAGATGACCAGAGGCTGTTTGTCTTCTACTGTTTGGGGAAAAAACACTCAAACTGTGTTTTTCCTCTACTCTCATACCACCACCACAACAGTTATCAACTCAGAAGAAGACTTCTGTGACCAAGTGTGAGGGTTTTTTCCCCACACTATTCAAGCAGCAGATACCAGTTGGGTGTCCTCCAATTCAATTCCAACACAATCTACCTGGAGATAGCATCAGATCCCAAAGGGTGAGGGCTCAGTCCCCAATACTGCACTCCCAGCCCCAGACACCAGTCACAAGTTTGGGTATCCAGAATTTCTGACCGACCAACTTCAAGTTGGGGTTCTCATGACCTCCTCTTTGGGTTTGATTAATTTGCTGGGGCAACTCCCAGAACTCAGGGTGGCTCTCAGAATCCAGCATTCACATTTACCAGTTTATGATAAAGAATATTGCAAAAGATACAGATGAAGAGACGTGTAGGTATGGAGGTATGGAGGTATGGAGAAGGGGCATGGAGCTTTCCTGCCTTCCCTGCTCATGCCACCCTCCAGGAACTTCCACATGTTCACCTGTTTGAAAACTCCATGAATCTGGTCCTCTTGGGTTTTTATGGAAGCTTCAAGACATAAGAATTCCTTCCCTCAGGGCACAGGATGGAACCCTCTCTCCAGAGGGTCTTAAAATCCACAATCAGAAAAGAGGGGGAAGATTAGAGCCCCACCTAGGGGCAGGTAGAAGTGGGGCAGGGGAACACAGAGAGCTTCTGTTTCCTAACACCTTCTCCTGAGGCCTGACATACCCATATCATAACTCTCCTGATGCCTGCTTTCACCCCAAAGCAGCCCATCATTCAATCTCTAGATGTCTTAAGGAGGAGGGCAGTCAGAGCCCAGTCCACTATGCCACCCCACAGATATCATTGATTAAGCTCTCAATGTATTCTTGTTAAAAGGGGCAGTTACCCCTTACCCCTTCGTACTTGAAAGGATGAGACTCACGCCACTTCAGTAGTTCTCTATAAAAATGTTACTCACAAATTTTCTCCCAACCCTTTTAAATCTTTCTTGTGGATATCAGAGTCACCCTACACAATGGTTCTGAAGAAGTGACAGTAAATGGACAGGAGCGTATTTTAGTTATTACAAAGAGTTAATGGTGTTACAGTTACTCATTTCCCTAGGAATCTGAGTCTAAATGCTCTGAAAAGACATGGGATAATTCTATTACACCTAAAAAGGCGCCACCAACAGAGAAACACTAAATAGTTCTAGGTCATTTTGTTTGAAGAATCCATATTTCTGCCTGGTATCTCACTTTGGTATTTTATATCTATTGCATCTTGCGACCTGGGTATAAATTTAAAATCTTATGTGAAAATATATTTTTTAAGTGAAGTAAAATACATATTTTTAAGAGTAGTAAAATACATACTTTTAAGAGCGCTAACATTAAAGTTCTAGGACTTAGGGGTGGTAGGAGAGATGACATCCAGTTGGGGAAATCAGGAGAGGCCTCCTGGAAATGGGCTTGAAAAGATGTTGACAGGTACAGGTATTTACAAGTGGTGGGAACAGGGTTATTTGTGCTAAACTCAGTCTTCATAACTTAAACTTCATAAATGTAGATAAAACATGCCTTTACATAAATCTCTAAAGCAAAGATACTCTTGAGATTAATAGTTTACGAGTATAAAAAAGACCCATACAAAGAGCTGTTTTATTGCCTAGATTTACATTACTATGCTCATTAGGTAATCTCTATACATACCGAGTTGTCTGGAAACTATGATTCACTCTCATCTTTGTTTTTCATGGGATTAGAAAAACTTTAGGGTCATTTTGAATGCATAATATCATTCTATCTCCATAACTATAGCCTCCTTATAATGCAAGATATATTTCTGTAAGTGACTGAAACAAATATACTTTTCCAGTTCAGAAAAAATTATATATTTCCATGTGGTATTATTTACATTAGGCCTTTTGCAGCCTTAGGCACTTTAATTGTATGCCTTGCCATTGTGTCTTCTTTGTTTCTCCTGGACTTTATTTTCCAGATACAACTCCCCATTATCATTACCAACAGGATACAACCAAAACTCCTTAGCAATGCCTTTGAGATCATATATTTCTTGGAAGATTATATCTTGCACTTATCACCAGCATCATCTTTAATTATATCACTCAGTCCTCAATATTACTCTTTCAACTATGATCATCTATTTGCAGTTTCCCATATAAAATGTTTCCTTTATCTGCACTTGGTGCATGATCACCTCTTTCACTAGCTTATCCCTCAATATTAAGGTCAATTAGGTGTCACCTTTTCTTAGACTACATTCTCCCACTCCCCTTTTGTGTTAAGCATCTCTTTCATTTTAACAACTTAAAATTTTATAATTGGTTTATTGTCTGTGTTCTCTCTACTAGACTTTACATTCCTTGAAGGGACAACGTATTGTTCACTTTGTGTTCTTGGAATGAGCATTGTGTCTAGCGCAAGTCAAAGCTTAATAAACAGTGGTAAAATAAGTAATTACATTAAGTAATTTGAATGAATAAGCTACACAGAATAAAAGTAAACTTAATTTTATGTAATAATGTGTATTATACATTAACTTATTGTTTCAGTATTTCTTTTTATGTCTTAGTTCTGCATCTTGTCACTCCAATTTCACTTTATAGCAAAAATTCTCAGAAGATAGCCATGGTTTTGGATGTAGTTTGTTCCCCTCAAAACTCATGTTGTAATTAGATCCCCAATGCAGCAGTGTTGGGAAATATGGGAGCCAAGTGAGAGGCATTTTGATCATGTGGGTGAACCCAGTATGAATAGATTAATGACCCATGGCTGTGAGTAAATTCTTCTTCTCACGGGAATAGATTAGTTCCCATAAGGGTAGGTTGTTAGAAGAGTTGCTTTCCTTGGTTTCTCTCTTGCTTCCTCTCTTACTATGTGATCTCTTTGCATGCACCTGTATTCTCCTTTCACTTTCACCATAAACTTCTCAGTCTGCAAAATTGTAAGCTAAACAAACCTCTTTTATTTGTAAATTACCCAGTCTCAGATGTCCTGTTATAGCAACACTAAATGGAATAAGACAGAAAATTAGTACCAGAAGTGGGGTGTTGCTATACAGATACCTGAAAAGTAGGAGCAGCTTTGGAAGTGGGCAATAAGCAGTGGTTGAAAGAATTTAGAGGAGCAAACTAGAAAAAGTCTGCATTGCCATAAATGGAACATTAAGGGTGTTCTAATGAGGGCTCAGAAGAAGATAAAAAGACAAGGAAAAGTTCAGAACTTCTTACAGATTGACTAAATTGTCATAACCAAAATTTTTATAGAAATACATGTAGTAAGGCCATTCTAATGAGGGATTTGATGGAAATGAGGAAGAGGATGTTGCGAACTAGAGAAAAGGCCATTCTTGTTACACTATAGCAAAGAATTTGCCTGCATGTGTCTATGCCTTAGGGCTTTATGGAATGTAAAACTTAAGAGTGATTTTCTAGTATATCTGACAGGAGAAATTTCTAAGCAGCAAAATGCTCAAGAAGCTACATGGTCACCTTTAATATCTTATGCTAAGTTATGGCAACAAAAGGATGACCTAAAAGCATAATTTATAACTAAAGGGGAAGCAGAGCATAAGGAATTGGAAAATTCATAACCTGGCCATGTGGTAGAAAATAAAAGGGCATTTTCAAGAAAGGAATCCAAGGGTTTGGCTGAGAGACCACTTGCTAAAAAGATTAGCACGGCAAAAAGGAAGCCAAGTTCTTATAGTTAAAATAATGGGAAAAAGCCTTAAAGGCATTTCAGAAATCTTTGAGATTTTCTCTCCTTTTGCAGGCCTAGCAGCCTAGGAAGGCAGCATGGTTTGCAGGGACAGGCCCAGAGTGCTGCTACTCACCCTATCCTGATCAGTAGCTGCAGCAGCCATAGCTCAAGCAGCCCCAGGTGTGGCTCATGCTGCTGCTACAGAGAACACAGGAAGTAAGCCTTGATGGCTTCCATGTGCGGTATTAACTTTACAAGCCCACAGAATGCAAAAGCTGTGGAGGTGTGAATTCCTCCATCCAGATTTCAAAAAAATGTATGGAAAAGCCTGTAGGCCCAGGCAGAGACTTGTTGCAGGGGTGGAACCATTTCAGAAAGCCCTTAATGAGCAATGCCAAGTGGAAATGTGGGGCAGAGCTGCCAGAGAGCCTCCACCGGGACAATGGCCAATGAACACAGAGGAAAAACCATTACTGGGACCCTAGAATTGTAGAGTCACTGCAGCATGCAAACTCAGCATGTAAAGGCAGCTGGCATTGAACTTCAACCCATGAGAGCAGCCATGAGAACTATGCCCAGCAAAGCTATGGGGGCAGAGCTGCCTGTGGCCTTGGGAGCCCATCCTTGGCATCAGTGTACATAGCGTGTGGAACATGAAATCAAAAGAGATTATTCTATAAGTTTAAGATTTAACATTCTGCCTGCTTGGTAAAGGACTTGCTTGAAGCCTATAACTTCTTTCTTTTTTGGCCTATTCCTTCCTTTTGGAATAGAAATGCCTATCCTATGTATGTTCCATATTGTAACATGGAAGGAAATAAACTATATATATATATATATATATATATATATATATATAGGCTCATAGCTGGACTTTAGACATTTAACTTGATATTGAAACAAGTTAAGACTTTTGGAACTATTGGGATTGAAATGATAGTATTTTGTATGTGAAAGGACATGAGTTTTGAGGGGACCAGAGACAGAATGCTATGGTTTGCATGTGGTTTGTCTCACCAAAACTCATGTTGAAATTTGATCCACAATGTGGCAGTATTGGGAAGTGGGGCCTAATGAAAGATGATTGATCTTGGGGGTGGATTCCTCACAAATAGATTAATGTCTTCTCTTGGAGGTATGCAAATTAGTGATCTCACAGGAATGGATTAGTTCTTGAAAGAGTGGGTTGTTTAAAAAAAAGTCTGAAAACTCTGGCTTCTTTGGTTTGTCTCTCTTGCTTCCTTTCTTGCCACATGATCTCTTTGCATGTATCCGTCTTGTACCCATCTTCATCTTCTGCTTTCTGCCATGAGTTGAAGCAGCATGCCCTTAAACTTTCCAGCCTCTGGAACTGTGAGTTAATTAACCTCTTTTCTTTATAAATTGCCAAGTCTCAAGTATTATGTTATGGCAGCATTAAATGGACTAAGATAGTTTAGAATTTAATTATATTGTAAATGTTGTTCATGCTCAAATAGTTTCCAAGAATATAGTAAAATATCTTTTTAAAGTTAAAACAGGGGTAAGGTGAAAGAAATTTAAGTATTCCATTTTTAAAAATTTAAAGCATCAAGTTGACTTCAATATTCTGATATCATCCTTAACTTTATAAAAGATCTAAAAAATTGGTCTTTAAACCTTAGATTTTTTCATTACATAAATTTAGCAGAGATATTTTCAAATGTGTAGATATAGTATCTATATGTACAGAAAGTATGTAAATGTATGTAAATATATATACATACATACATGCATACATACAGAGAAACGAGAAGAGGAGAAAAGGAGAGGAGAAGAGAGGAGAGGAAAAGCTTTCTGCAATGAGTAGACAGAAAGGGGAAAAAGAGATGGACTGATAAAACTATAAAGATGCTTATATTTTCAGTGAATTAGAAGAGCTTTTAATACTAGCAGTATTTGGGCCTTGAGGAAATCCCTCTGTGGGTTTCTGATAGAAAACAATAGATAATAGGATTTACTTCCACAAGGGAAGCACAGGGTAGCCATCTTGATCTTCCATTTCACACAGGCTTTGTAATTGTGTGTTGCTCTTGAGGAGTTTGATTTTATTTTAAAATTGCATTTCAGCGATGCAAAAAAAAAAATCTAAAATGGTAAAGAAGAGAACTTTGTTAAGCTTTCACCAAATAGTTTCTCTTGCCCTCATTATTTTGCAAGTGACTAAATCTTAAGGTTAGGGAGGTTTTCCAATTAGGAAACCTAATGAAAGAATGCATATCCCCGAGGATCTTGGGGTAAATATGTTGATATGCTAATTACATGCATAGATGATAGTGATATCAATGAGAAATTCAAGAAAACTTGTATTGTTTTATCTGTGAATATATAGAACTTTAATAATTAAATTGGATTACGTAAGAATGATCATCTATAGGGACTAACACTAGGACACTTCAGCTGCTGAATGTTGCTGACATTGTACTTGTTGGATGCTTTGGGTGTTCATGTTGCTTTGATGAAATAGTCAGATATCATTGATGTCTATCTGGACCATCATTTCTAAGCACTTAATATTGCCATTGTATTGTTTCAAACACATCGTTGGTATACCCCTAAAAATTCCTTCTAGCCATTTTGTTATCCTTTCTCAGCTTTAATAACCATGTGTTTTCCCTCATTATTATATAATCCCTCAAATTCTTGAGTACAGAGTACTGGGCCTACAAGTGTATGCTAAATGTAAGAGGTTCAACTTTCTGCTTGTAGTCTGGAGGATACATTGCTGCCTACACTAAAAAGGCCTCAGCTATTACTTTAAGTACATGTGGCTTATTAATACATTGTGGGTCTGACAGCACCCCCCTTTTTTTTTTTGCCTTTTACCTGTGCAGTTACAGCACCTGAGAAACATTAAAAGAGCAAAGGAATGTACCATAGATTTATTACAGTGATCTATCCTTCCTTTGGCATCCCCCTGACCCCACATACTGTTAAATTGTTCTCTCCTTATAAAATAATAAAATTTAAGCTAATCTCTAAATTTATGAATTCTATTTTATCTAGGGCTATACAGTGCATAAACTGAATATTTCTAATCTACTTAAAGTATATATGTCATTTTCAGGACACGTTTTATATGAAATATCATATATATATATATATATAAAATTCACTTTAGCCAGCACAGTTCTTAGCAGTAATAGGTACTGGACTCAAAAAAGACTTATTGTTTGCCTGGCATTTTGATCAAAGTACAAAAGTGTATTGATTTATATTGTACTTATTTTGCAAGTAGTGCTGTGCAAATAGTAACATACCTTATTGTTATAAGAATCCTATGAGTTATGTTCTATTAACTCCACTTTATAGGTTTGGAACTGAGGTTTAGAAGAGTTAAGTAACTTACCCAAGGTCACACTGCTTAAGGAGAAGAATAAGGATTAAAAGTCAGGCTGTCTAGCTCCAGACGCCATGCTCTTAACCATTAAAATATGCGCCACATATATTCCCATACTAGGTGATATATCTCATGTATTATTAACATTATAGTCTCTTCCTTTAACATCTTTAATATTGATGATGGTTACTTGATTTGCATTACAAATTTTAACCATACTGAAAAATAAGGCGAGTTTCCAAAGAAATTAACTAACTTTCACAAGATTACTTTACTAAATGAAACTAGTGTTTTGAAACAAATCCCAGATTTTTCACCTTGCGTTGTATGACCTTCTGAGGTAGCACTGATCGCATTTGCAATTGGCATTCTCTAGGCCCTATGCTGAAGGATTTTGATATTACAGTGCAAATGACACCTAAATCACTTTAGAAACAAAACAATCTCAATAACTAGGCATTCCTTAGGCCAAATGTGTAGGCCAAGCAGTGAAACTAGTGTAGTAAAGCTTTAATTTGATCAGAAAAGCATAAGGTCCTTAAAATGGCACCAATGACTTGTATTTGAGCTTTTATATTTATATAAAAATGGGAAGTAAGGCCTTGGACATTCTCAGGCAGGTGAGCAGAGGAAACTGACTTCTATTTAAACTGTACCCTCAATCAAATGAAGAAAATATATGTTTTTCCTTAATAATGCTTTAAGATGAAAGAATATTTTATCTAATAATGTCATATCGACACCAATATTATTTTGGCCAGTATTGGGACACTATGAGTTTTTTTATTCCTTTACCTTCAAATTTTCTGTCAATATATTTTAGTTACCCTCTCATATACAGCATATGACTGTTGTAGGCAGAATAATGGCTCCAAATATTTCTATATTCTAATCTCCAAAACCTATGAATGTACTACCATACCTGGCAAAACAATATACGGTTGAGATTATGGATCTTGAGATAGGATGATTAATATGTATTATCAGGTTAGGTCCAAGTTAAACACACAATTTCTTAAAAGCAGAGAAACTTTCCTGGCTGTGGCCAGAGAGTGGTATAGAGTGGTAGAAGAAGGATCAGAGAGATGCAACATGAGAAGGACTTAACTCACCATTTTTGACTTTTGAGATGAATGAATGGGCCATAAGCCAAGGAATATTGAAAGCCTCTATAAGCCAGAAAAGGCAAGAAAATAACTTCACCTCTGGAGCCTCCAAAAGAAACAAGGCTGTATGATGAGCCATGCGACTCGTGTTAGCCTTATGACCTGTAGGATTATAAGCTAATAAATTTGTATTGTCTTAAGACACTATGTTTGTGGTAATTCATTATAGCAGTAATGGGAAACCAACATGATTGCTGTTTATTGTGTATTTTATATCTCATCTGAGAAGTTCAATTTTTAAAAATTGGAATATTAAATGTATTCACACATATTGTAGAAACTGATTTGCTCAAATTTATTTTTAGAAAACAGATTCTGATCTTCATCTACCAGTTAAATTATTTGCTTATTTGTTTTTGTAATTTTGTTTTCTTTCCCTGACTTCAGCTAAGTAAGTCTTTATTAGTAATTAAATTAAATTAAATGTACATGGATTAAACTGTCCAGTCAAAAAGCAGAGATTGACAGCATGAAGTTTTTAAATATGATTGAACTATATGATGTCCACAAGCAACTCACTTTCAATCCAAGACACAAACAGGTTGAAACCAAAAGGATGGAAAAAAATGTTGGATGCAAATGGTAGCCATAAGAGAGTTTGAGTGACTATATTAAAATCAGACAAGATATATTTTAACGTAAAACCTGTTACAGGAAACAAAGAAGGACATTATAATTGGCCCTCAAACAACACTGGAGATGGAGGAATTAATCCTTATACAGTTGTAAATTTAAATATAACTTTTGACTCCCCAGTAATTAAACTACTACAGCCTACTGTTGGTAACACTTACTTTATATGTTAACTTATTCTATGTTGCTTTCTTACAATACAGTATGCTAGAGAAAAGAATGTTATAAGAAACTCATAAGAAGGAGAAAATATATTTGCTCTTCATTAAGTTGAAGTGGATCATCATAAATGTCTTCATCCTCACTGTCTTCACATTGGGTAGGCTGAAGAGAAGAAAGAGGAGGGGTTGATCTTGCTGTCTCAGTTGTGACAGAGGCAAAAAAAAATGTGTAAGTGTATCTGTGCAGTTCAAACCTCTGTTGCGTAAGGGTAAAATACATATACTGATAAAAAAGTCAATTCATCAAAAAGATACAAAAGCTGCAAACATATGTACCAAACAAGACCTCAAAATAAATGAAACAAAAATTAATAGAATCGAAGACTGAAACAGACAGTCTACACTAATATTTGGAGACTTGAATACATCACTCTTAATAATGGAAAACTGTAGACAGGAAATCAATAAGAAAATAGAGTACTTGAACAACATGATAAACCAACAAGACATAGCAGACACATATACAGTACTCCAACTAGCAATAGTAGGGCATGATTTTTCCTCAAGTGTACATGTAACACTCTCCAGAAATGACAATACATTAGACCACAAAATGAATCTTAATAAATTTAAAAACACTAAACTCATGGAAAGTATTTTCTTTGATCACAAAATAGCAGTGAAATCAAAAGATATTTTTTTGAAAAGGTACAAAATACTGACAAACATCTAACTAGACCAACAAAACCAGATAGAAGATGATAATAACTAAAATCAGAAATGAAAGTGGTGACATTACTACTGATCTTAGAGAAACAAAAGGAGTTATAATAGAATACTATGAACAACTATATGCCAAAAAGTTAGGTAACCAAGATAAAATACACAGATTCCTAGGAATACACAAATTACCTAAACTAACTCAAGAAAAAGCAGGAAATCTTAACAGATCTAGAACGAGCAAAGTGATTGAATCAGTAATCAAAAAACTCTCAACAAAGAAAAGCCCAGGACCAGATAACTTCTCTGGTACGTTATATCTAGCATTTAAAGAAGAATTAATAGCAATTCTTCTCAAACTCTTCCAGTAAATGGAAGAGGAGAAAACACTTCCTAACTCATTCTGTGAGGCCAGCATTACCCTGATACTAAAACCACATAAAGACAACAGAAGAAAAAAATTTACCAAAAAAAAATCCTTATTAATATAGACACAAAAATTCTCAATAAAATACTAGCAATTCAATTTCAAAAGCATGCTAAAAGAATTATAAACCAGGACTAAGTGAGATTTATTCAAGAATGGAAGACTAGATCAACATATGACAATCAATTAATTTAATACAGCACATTAATAGGACAAGAAAACATATGATCATTTTAATTGATGCAAAAAAGTCATGTAAGAAATTCAACACCATGTTGTGATAAACAAAAAACACTCCATAAACTAGGAATAGAAGACACCATCTCAACATTATACAGGGCATTTATGAAAAATCCACAGATAACATGACACTTAATGCTGAAAGAATAAGGGCTTTCCCTTTTAGGTCAAGAACAAGACAAGGATGCCTATTTTCTCCACTGCTATTCAGTATTGCTCTAGAGATTCTAGTCAGAATGATTTAGTCAAGAAAAATACATAGTCACACACTGAAAAGGAAGAAGTTAAGCTATTTCTGTTCACATATGATATTATCCTATAGAAAGGAGGAATGAAAAAAAATCAAGAAATACCCTAAAACTAATAAATAAATTTAGCAAAGTTACAGGTTTCAAGACCAAGACACAAAAATCAGTTGTGTGTCTATATGTTACCAAAAAGCAGTCCAAAAGGAAAATTAAGAAAGAAATCTCATTTAGAATAATATCTAAAAGATTAAAATACACAGAAATAAATTTATCCAAAGAGATGAAAGACATGTACACAGAAAACTTCACAAACATTAGTAAAAAAAATTAAAGAAGACATAACAAAAGGGAAGACATCCATGTTCTATGATTGGAAAATATGTTCTATGATTGGATGTTATTAGGATATTGATACAACCCAAAAAGTCTCCTGACTTTAATGTAAATTCTATTAAAATTCTAGTCACATTAATAGAATGAATAGTGGGTGAGTTCTCACCAGATCTGATAGTTTCATAAGGGGGTTCCCCCTTTGCTTAGCACTCATTATCTCTCTTGCTGCCCTGTGAAGAGGTGCCTTCTGCCATGATTCTAAGTTTCCTGAGGCCTCTCCAACTCTGCGGAACTGTGAGTAAATTACATCTCTTTTCTTTATAAATTACACAGTTTCAAGCAGTTCTTTACAGCAGCGTGAGAATGGACTAACACACAATTCTAATATTTGTATGGATCCATGAAAGACATCATATAGCTAAAGCAACCTTGGGCATAAAGTACAAAGCTGGAAACATCATACTTCCTGATTACAAAATTATATTATTGATACAAAACTATAGTTATTGAAACAGTGTTGAAAATGGCATAAAAACACATAAACAAATGGAACAAGATAGAAAGCCCAGAAATATACCCACACATATAAAGTCAACTAATCTTTGTTAAAGGTGCCAGGAATGCACAATGACGGAAGGACATTGTCTTTAATAAATGACCTTGGGAAAGCTGGCTATTCACATGAAAAACACTAAGATTGGACTCTTATTGTATTCCTTATCCTACACACAAAAATCAACTCAAAATGGACTGAAGTTTTAAACATAAATTCTGATACTGTAAAACTTCTGGAAGAAAATACGGGGGAAAGGTCCTTGACACTGCTCTTGGCAATAATTTTTTTAGTGTAACACCAAAAGCACAGACAATAAAAGCAGAAATAAACAGAATTACATCAAACTGAAGTTTTGGCACAGCAAGAGAAACAATAAACAATTTGAAAAGGCAACCCACAGAATGAGAGAAAATATTTGCAAACCACGTCTATAAAAAGGGATTAATATACAAAATATATTAAAAATAACAATAGCAAAAAACAACCTTATTAAAAACTGAGCAAAACCCTAAATAGACATTTTTTCCAGTGAAAACATACAAATGGCCAACAGGTATATGGAAAGGTGCTCAAAATCACTAATCATCAGAGAAATGCAAATTGAAACCATAATGAGATATCACCTCATTCCTGTTATAATGGCTATTTTCAAAAGTCAAAAAACAATTGTTGGCAAGGAGCTAGAGAAAAGAGAACTCTGTACACTATTGATGGGATTATAATTTAGTAAAGTCATTATAGAAAACAGTATGGCGGTTTCTCAAAATATTAAAAATAGAACTATCTTATGATCCAGTAATTTTACATCTCAGTATGTATTCAGAGAAAACGAAACCAGTTTCTTGAAGAGATATCTGCACACTCATGTTCATTGCAGCATTATTCACAATAACCAAAATATAGAAACAATCTGTTTGTTGACAGATGAATGAGAAAAGATAATGTGGTGTGTTTCTGTGTGTGTGTGTAATTATATAAATTACACTATTGTTCCATTGTGTGTGTATACACATGCGTGTGCACACACACACGCAGGAACATTGTTTAGCCTTTAAAAAAAGAAATTCTGTCACTTGTAACAATATGGCTGAACCTGGAAGACATTATGCTAAGTGAAATAAGTTAGGTGCAGAAAGACAAATACTGCCTGATCTAAATATCGGATCTTAAATAGTAAATCTTAAATAGTAAAACTCATAGAAACAGAGTAGAAGGTTGGTTACCAGGGATAAAGGGGTTGGGGCAATGAAGAGATGTTAGTCAAAGGGTACCAGCTTTTAGTTATTAAATGAATAAGTTCCAGAGATCTAACATACAGCATGGTAACTACAGTTAATCATAATGTACAGTATACTTGAAATTTGTTAAGAAATACATCTAAGTACTTCTTAAGTATTTACATCATACCAAAAATGTAACTATGTGAGGTGATAAATGTGTTAATTAGCTTGGTTGTATTTATCATTTCACAGTGTATACGTGTATCAAAATATCACATTGTATTCCTCGAATATGTATGATTTTTGTCAATTACACTTTCATAAAGCTGAAAAAATGATAACAGCCTTCTTTGCAGAAATAGAAAATCCTATCCTCAAATTTATATAAAGTATCAAGGTACACCAAATAGACAAAAGAGTTTTATGAAAGAACAAAGTTGAGGGACTTGTACTTCCCAGTTTCAAAATTTACTATAAAACTACAGAAATCAAAACATCGAGGTACTGGCATAAGGCAAAACATGCAAACCAATAGACTAGAATTGAGAGTTCATAAATAAACCATTAATCTACAGCCAATTTATTTTTGACAAAGATACTAAGCCTATTCGATAAGTAAAGAATAGTCTCTGACAGTTGGTGCAAGCACAACTGGATTTCCACATGCAAAAGAAAAAAGTTGGACTCCTACCTCATAGTATATACAAAATTAACTCAATATGGATCAGTTACCTAAACATAAGAGCTGAAAAACATAAAGCTGTTAGAGAAAATCACATAGGCAAATGTTCATGATCCTGGATTTGGCAACAAATTCTTAGGTATGACACCAAAAGGATGAGCAACAAAGATGCATGAGCAAAAGCATGAGCAACAAGAAATGTGACGTATACACACAGTGGAATATTATTTAGCCATAAAAAATGAAGTTCATAATGCATGCTGCAATATAGATGAACATTGAAAACATTATGCTAAATGAAATAGGCCAGAAACAAAAGGATAATTATAATATGATTCTTCTTACATAAATTATATAAAATAGGCAAATTCATAGACACACAGAAAGTAGATGAGAAGTTAGCATGGGTTGGGAGTAAAGAAGAAAGAGAAGGTGTTGAGTAATGGGTACAGAGTTTCTGTTTGGGGTGATGAAAGATTTGGAGACAGACAGTGGCAACAGTTGCACAAATTGAATCAATTTAGTGTTACTGAATTGCATACTTAATATAATTAAAATACAAATTTTTGTTGTATATATTTTACCACAATAAAATATGTAAGGTAATATCATTTAAAATATGCTTATATACCTATAAAACAAATCTTAATGACTAGAGAAGAAACTTCTAGGAAGTGAGCCAGAAGTAATTAGGGTGTCAAGTGGATGTATATTTTTGCTTTCTGATTTTTTAACTATTTGAATTTTTATAAAGAAAATGCTACTTTTTTAATTTAAGAACAAACTAGACTATTTCATAATTTTGTGAATCATGACATGGATTATTTAATGGTCTCATACCATAAATTTAATGATAAAAATATGGAGTTAAAAGTATAAATAAAATTTGTAAAGATTGATTGCAGCTTAACTTGACATTTTTGTGATGACATCATAGATAATGGGTGTCCTCTATTTTCTACAAAAGTATATTTCCTAGTTTTATTGTACTTTTCTATTTACTAATACATGTTCTTTATTGTATTCAGCATGTATTCATTCATCTCATGCTGACTGAGTACTAACTTAAGGCCAACTTTTGTACTGGCAACTTTCTCATCTGGTCACTCATTAAGTAGAAAGAGTTGGATATATACTTAAAGCTAGATTTTTTACCCAACATCAGTAGACTCTTCCATTCCTTTGCCATTTATTGGCTATATTTTTATTTTGTCTCAGTCTCTACTAAGGTAGACAGATTCAAATGCTACTAATTTTACTGAAGTATTAGAATTGAACCATTTGGTCAGAAACATTCACTATGAATGTTAGATAAAACTTACATCTTCAAAATTATATTCGGAATGACAAGATAACTTGATATTAACTTGAAATGATTTGCAACATTCTCTATGAAACTCAAGGCATACTGTTCAGGAGATAGTAAATCTCTCTGTCTTAGTCCATTTTCTGCTGCTATAACAAATACCACAGCAGTGATAATTTATAAAGAAAAGAGATTTATTTGGCTTACATATCTGGAGGCTGGGAAGTTCAAGAGAATGAATCCAGCACCTGCCAAGGGCCTCACCCCATGATGGAAGGGCAAGCCAGGGCATGAGACAGAGAGAGAAATGGGGTCAAATATATCCTTTTATCAAGAGCCCACTCTGGTGATAATAGCATTCATCCATTCATGAAGGCTGAGCTCTCATGAACTAATCACCTCTTAAGACCCCACTCCCAATACTGGTAAAATGGCAATTCAATCTCAATGTAAGTTTTGGTGGGAATATTGAAACTATAGCACTGCCCTTTAAAATAGGTCTTGTACTGGTTTTTAATACAGAGATTAAGTAAGTCACCATCAATACTTACACATACAGAATAGAGTTTGGGGAAAAATGATTTCTACTTTAGTTTTCCATTCACAGAATAAACTCTATCACTAGAGTTAGGATGCTTTTAAAATAAAAAAAAAAAAGGAGTATTAATTCTAGAAAGAACACTACAAAGAATGTTTTTTCAAATGAAGAAGTGAAAACTTCAAGAGGGCAAGGACTGGCTCCTTGTGGTGGGACTTGAACAGCTGCCTCCTGAAGGCTAAATTAGGACTCTAAGGCTCAATGTAGGAATGTAGGAACCATGCTAATATTCCAGCCTTTTCTTATTTCTATTCCATCCCTGTGAACATGTTGCCCACAAAGTAGGAAAGACACAGTAAATCTGAGGCAGGAATATCACAAAAGAAATCTACAATTTGGTATTTTTTTTTTTACAGGGAAAAATCTTCATACACAGATCTCTTCTGAACCATGGAATGTGCATTCAAAGGAACATTAACATTTTTTGCCTTTTAGACCATCCTTCCATACCATGCTATGTAATTTCTAACAAAGGCCATGTTTGCATCAAGTATCTCCTCTGTTTTCTTATGGGCAACTTGATTACTGGATTCAGGTTGCTCTAGTTTTCCTTACTAGTAAGGACAAAATTACATATAGTGTGCAAGAGAACACTTATTAGAATGTTAATATAAATAATTTCAATTCAAACAATGCTAAGTTATTTCTTTAGCTCTTTTTCAAATAGTTACAGAAAAGACCAGAGAAGCAGGTCTTGACACATTGCGCTGACTTCATACAATCACACGGCATGCATCTGGGTGCTGGTTTTAAAATGAACAGCCTCCTTGTGACAGCTAAATGCCAAGGTTGTGGTTTTGAAAACATAAAGCCATTATTATTTTATTCTTTATCCCTTTCCACACCATTATATCTTCTGCTTCTCCTGCCCAATTTACAAGAATCTCGACTTCGAAAGACACAGTACAACAACAACAATGGCCTTAACTAGCATCCATTTACATTATTTATATTTTATAAGGCAAAAATTAACTGGCATGGTAGTCAAGGTTATTGTGTATGAATATAAAAAAAGAATAAACCGGCACAACCTGATTTTTTAAAATCTGTGGCTATTTCTAATAATATTCTGTGTAGTTTTTTTTTTTCAGGTGAAGACTAAAGCACCAACTGAGGAGAAAAGATTTTCAGTGTCAGTGAAGTTAAAACATGTCAGCGGCAGTTGCTTCTGTGAATATTGTCTCACATGAAAGGAAGGATGGATTGAATTCATATCTGAAACAAGACAAGATTTTCCATCTGACCTCATTATGTGTTTCTCTGGAGTGCATCCCTGGGTTTCTGCCTGAACTGAAATGTGTTGTGGGGAAACCAAATATAAAACAGCTCAGTACTGCCATAACTGACGTGTCTTAATAAGATGGGGTATTTATTGTTTTGCCACAGTCCTCTCTTAACTCTAAAAGTCATTATGATGTGCTAGATCCCTTTGTTAAAGCAATTCCCATAAGTGAAGGCATGTACTAATGAAAAGGTTTATGCTACATGGCTGGAAACAAGGATGAAGTAGCATTACTGTGTATAACAGAGATTCATATTGAGAAATATTTATGGAAAGATTTTTAGAGACTTGACTGTTGTATTCTTATAAATAATTAAATGTACAAATCATCATTGTTACAATACAGCCAGTTTCCTTTTCTGTGAGCACTGGTGATCGATTCAAAAATATATTGATTTAAGGAAATTTATAGCATTTTTCATTGCTCCTAGTAATACTAGAAAATTTTTCACAGGTCAGAAATAATAGAAAACTTTCCCCTAGATTAACCTTGTGCCACACAGACAGATTTTCTTTATTCTAATGTATCATAAGGAAAGGCATAATGTCTTTCAGTTTTATTTGTACAATGGCTTATATGTCTTTATGAGCATATATATTTGCATCTATCATACTAATTGATAAAGAAATATGTCATTGTCTGCATTACTATATGTGTATAAATGTTTTTATATATGTACATACACACACTATGATTCTATTTTTCAAAATATAGTGAAGGTAAGGAAAATATTAGTTAGAACTCCAACACCTACCACCACTAAAATATGTTTTAATAACCTTTGAGCTATTCTGTAAACTAAATTACCATTATACCTAAGAATAAATCAATGGCAATATACTATTCAAAAAGTTAATCGCATAGATCTCTGTATGTATACATGTAAATTTATATATAATGTAGATATAGTGAGATGCATTATTTTGTTGAAATTAGTGTCACTCTTCTGTGTTTATTTATACTAAATAATTTGAAAAACATTTTAGATTTTTAGTTGCTATAGTAACACACCATTAGACCATTTTTCCAATGTTGTATATTTTATAAAACAGTAAGTACGAAACTATAGATGTGATAAATAAGCTAACATAGACAAGTTTTCAGGTTTCAACACAATCCTTTGGTTGATATGTTCAGCATGGACTCTAAACATTTCTGGCACACAATGAACCTTTTAAATTTGCCACCTGAGGAGAACTATTCTTTTGGAAATTGAAATGCTGTGTAATCTGTGACACTTTTACTTTATAAAAAATAACTTTTTTATTCAAATAGCAAAGAATTATGAAATATGTACTGCATTCTTAGCATTTTGCCTAAAGCTAGGGATGCAGAGATTACGGGGAGGTCCCTACATTCAAGAGGCCACCTATCAACTACAGAGCTCACTTCCTAATATTAAACTGTTGTGAGCAACCAAATTAAAAATGTACATACATGATAGTTCACCTTCTAAGAAGTGGAGCTTAATGTTACCTCCTTTGAAGTATGAGTAATTCCCAAATAATAGGGTAGGGAAAGGAGTTTTTTATTAGTAGGGAAACCTGATAAACCTACATTTACCAAGTGATGAAGGTTAATCTTATCAGTCATGTTAATGTAAATATCATTTTCTGCCGCTATAATGTGATGAGAAGAAATTTTCACCTCTCTGGTATTCTTTCCAAAAATTTATATCCTGACTAATCTGAGAAAAAAAAAATTAGACCAACCCAGATTGGGTGACGATTCTACAGGATACCTAGCCAGTAATCCTCAAGACTGTCAAGGTTATAAAAAACAAAGAAAGCCTAAGAATCTTTCACAGGCCATTGGAGCTTGGGAAGCCAAGATAACCCAGTGCAAGGTAGTACCCCAAATTAGACATGGAACATAAAGAGAACATTAAGGACTAACTGGTGAAATGCAAACAAAGTCTGGAGTTCAGTTGAAAAATAAAACAATTTATATATAACTTTAAAGTCTAACAATTAGGTCTGTTACATTAGAAAAGATAAACTGTAGTTTTATCAAACAGCAGATCAACTAAAAACTATCCAGTTGTCAAGAATGAAGGAAATTTAGCACTCCAATAGCCAGGCTAATGTCACATAAGTATTGTGTCACAGATCACAACATGTGAACCTACAATTAAGGATCTTGAAACATCTTTGGCCAGTGGTTTGCAAACTCTTTTTCGCAGAGCACTAGGAGCGTCTCAGACAGCAGTATGGATGAGTGAGAAGACATGACATTAGCCATGCACCTATCCCCAATTTAACATAATATTTTATTTCACAAGAAGAATCCATGGCTTAGAAAAAATACAAGAAAATCAGTATGAAAAAATCAGTAACCTAGAGAGGTGCTTATTAAACGTCAACGGGTATACACATCACAGAAGATCTTTAAAGGCCAATATTGATTCAGTAGTTCTGGGGTGGAGCCTGAAATTCTGCATTTATGATGAGTAATGTCTACCCTAGGAGATGAAGATGTTGCTCGTCAGAGAAAAACACTGTAAGTAGGAAGGATCTAGCTCAAATGTTAAACTCTTCTCATGTCAGTACGTTTCATAGAGGAAAGTTTGCTGTTATGTTTAATGGGTTTTATGACTTCAATAGCAACACATCAAAATCCTTCTCAGTTAGTGAGTTGGAAAAAATTATGAAAACTGAGTTTTTTAAACTACACTTCTATCCATACCTCATCCTTCAGTCCCCTTAATCTAACTCGTATTTATTATAACAACCTCCAGAACCAGACCTTACTCAGCCACGTCCTCTATCTAGACTATCCTCTCATCATGTCATTCTATAACCAGCCATTTCATCAATGAATTTGGACCCAACTGAGATGTTCTTCTACCAATTATACTTTATCATACTCCATGTCAAGCCGAGCATCAGGTAGTATGCACTATCAATTACATCTTTCCAGGAAAAGGGAAGAAAATTGATGTTTTGGTTTTGTAAAAACCTATGCTTTTGTATTTCATCTGGGCTCTTACCTGCCTACTCACATTTTAAAAATGTACTTCATATTGACCCTTAGTACATTTTCCACAGGATTGTTCCAAGCTTTCTGCTCTCTCAGAGGTCATATTTTATTCCAAAACATTTATCACTTGATCTTATTTTCTGCTTCTCAAGATTGAGATTCTGGAACTCAAAATATCTTTCCCCCATCCTGATATTGCCTCAAACTACTGCACATCACAAGTAAGATAGCTGCTTTTAGAAGTATTTGGGAGCTTCTTCAATTTCAGATTGTTCTCATAGGTTTTCTGAGCTTCTAACTAATTATTTGTATCTCCCTTGCTACCTTTAAAAAAAGTTACTGTAAAAGTAATTTGTAAACTTGTGTTTGAAATCAGAGGTCTAACTCTCTGGTTTTAAGTCTTAGTGCTACTATTTTCTAGCTTTATGATTTTGAGCAAGTTTGCTTCACTTTATGAGCTCTAATATTTTTATCTCAAAAACAATGATAATAATGACCATTATGTCACATTTCTGCTTTATGAACTGAATGAGATAATATATGCAAAATGTCTAGACCTGTGCCTGTCAGTAATGTTAGATAAATTGTCAGTTATTACTATTACATATCTGCAGTCATTCTTTTGGATAGCTTGTCTGATCTCATTTTATCTTTATATAATCTTTACCTGTATTTCCAACCCAGTTTCTTGATATCACATTATCTTGCTTTATAACTCAGTTTCTAGATGACAACTGGAACCGGATAATTCTTTGTTGTGGGGAGCTGTCCTGTGCATTGTGAAATGTTTGGCAATATTTCTAGCCTTTATCCCCCAGATGCCAGTAGCAACCCCCAGTTGCGACAATGAAAACTGTCTCCAAATATCACCTAATGTCCTCTGAGGTCCAAAAGCACCCCTGGTTGAGAACCATCCTTCTAATCTTTTTTAAGGATATGCTTATATGGATGCCTCTTTGATGCCTCAACATATGGGCAAAGGTAAATGTATCATATTCTCAATAAATACGTTTTGTATACTGTTTTATCTACTTTCCTAAGTAGTCATAATGGAAAACACATAGTAATCTTGACTTTCCTTGCTCTTGCTTTCTACAATTAGTCTAGTAAATTGTGTTGAATATGCAATCCCAATTTTCTCACCATTTATCCCTTGTGCATTCTCACTGACATTACCAGAATCAGTTCCTCATTCTTTCAACAGAGTTTTGCTGACATTCACTCAATCATAGACACACTCCAGTGACAATAAGACAGAGTCATCATGGGCCTTATATTTTAGTGGGGGAAATAGGTAATCAACAAGTAAACAGATTAATAAATTGTATATTTTTGAGTAGTGATATATGCATGAAGAAAATAAAGCAGAGTAAGGGGATAGAAGATGAATAAAAGATGGCATTTTAATTAGTGTATTGGTAAAGATGTCTTAGGCAAGGCAAAATTCCAGCTCCTTTCTGTGAAGAACCTAACCATGCAAAGATCTGGGAATGGCAGGGGGCAGGCATAACAGCTTTAAGTTGGTAATATACTTAGCACTTATGAGAAAGAGCAGTGAGGTTATAGTATTGAAGGTTACTCAACATGTGGGTGTTTGTCTAGGTTACATTTAAAGGGAAAGTGGAACCAGGTATAGATACACAAATAAAAATCCTAGATGTCACCAAAAATGTAATGAGCATGAGACGGATCTAAAGTGATAAAATTTTAGCAAGTCACTTGATTTCTCTGATTTTCATATTTTTAATTACCTTGATTTTAGCTGACTCTAAAACTTAATTATGCATTGTGTTGGGATTGTGTATAAAATATAAATTTTAACCAAATGTATTCATGTATTCTATAAAAATTCACCATTTATGAAAGTTATGTTCAAGTTCTAGATTCAAAGGAGGCAATGTTCATGTTAGCTTTATAAAACTGAGGAACATCTGTACATAAATATATATCTCAAGATATTTCAAAAGCATTTGAAAGACATATTTTCATATAATTATGACAGCATTAGAATTATCCATTAAAAACATGTGAATTTTAGTCTAATGCTCTTAAAATTCACTTAAAAAACTCTATGAGACCAGAGAAGTAATTTCAACATAACAATTACACATGGCAGTTACGTTGTATAAGTGATTTAACATGTAACATACTTTTAAAAATTAACATAGTCCAAAAAATTAGCTCCAAATGTTAGCAGTGCCCCAAACAACAACTAAAATTAAGGGTGTGTCAATGCTTTGCCTTCAAATATTATTTTTTGCCCCCTCCAACCTCTGCTTGCTCCTACTTTAAGAGTTTATTACTCAAATGCTAACACTGCCTATGGGCAAATACATACATATATATATATATATATATATACACATATATATATATATAGTTGTTGTTGTTTTAAAGTTGCTTAGGATACATTTTGTTTGATCTTTTTTGTTTGTATATCTGTTTGTTTTGTGCTGTTTGTTATGTTACCTTTGATTATTAGACTTGGAACATAATCTGGGAGTTATGTGTGCTCAATTTCTATAGATCCTGGAGTGAACTAAGAACAGAGTGGCAGACTTAATTTAGAAATCTCCTATTTTTTTGATACTTAAGTCAAATCCTTAGCTCTATTCTAACACAGAGTTTTATATTTACAGATGCCCTCATTAACCCTTTTGCTGTCAAGACAGATACCTTCTGGTTCTATTAGTCCCCACCAGACTAAATTACTTGCATCAGGTCTCTATTACGCCTCCACTTGAGCTAGCACTGTGTAGCAAAACAACACTGGTAGGGAGTGAATGGTTATCAAGAGAAAGTTTACTTTCAGTGTTAAGAATTAATTTAGCTGAATTGGTGCAGTGAAAGGGGTAAACACAATCCCCTCACTGTTGTTTGTCAGGGTGTGTTATATCACCCAGGATTGCTATGTCAATAATCTGCCTGGCCTGCAAGCTAAAAATCTAAGATTGCTTGGATGACTGACAGGCTGGAGATAGCTGATAATTCTAAGGAATTGGAGGTGTAAAATCTTTAAGGACCACGTCTACAGTATAAATGCCAGGGTATCTCCACATCACTCTGTACTTACAAAGGCAACAGCATTGTTAATGGCAGCCTGTCTGTCCATCAAGTTTGCTACCAGCGGATTTATCCCTCTTTCACTCCTTATCTTTCTTTGCTGTGTTTATTTCGAAACCAGCTGCAGAATAAATTGCCTCTTGTCTTCACCTCCTACACTGAGTACAATGATATGTTCTGTAAAGCTTAAAATCATGGTGTTTTTCAAGCACTCCTTTTTTCAGAACACTGACTTCTAATTTTGTTTGTTTATGAATATGTATTATTTATCTTGTGGGGGCTTTTACAATACTAAAAATGACTCTTATTTACTTGGTGAATGCTCAGGATCTAGATAAAGATATGTGTGTGATATTTCACAGAGAAAAAATAAATAGAAGTAATTAATATAATCATTTTGTTATTGTTTTGAATAATTAATTAGATCTGATCTGTTTTAATCAAATAGTTAAAATTAAAAGGCAGCCAATTTCAGAGCAAATAGCACACTTCTATTAATTGACTTCAGGAATTTAGTGAAGTTTAAATATCTCTCCTTTATGCACATCTGCCCAGTTTCACTTTTCTAATTTATGACCAAAGGAAAGAAGACAATTGTAGCTCAGCAGACTTAAGGATCAAGATTAGAGTTTATGAAAAATGTCCAAGTTCTGCAGCAACCCAAACCCTCCCACACTGCTAGCAGGTGTACAATTTGAGACAACCACTTTGGAAAACCCGTGGCTAAACCTACTAAAGATGATTATACACAAACTTTATGAACCAACAACTCCTCTCCCAAAGATACACAGGTATGCATTCTCCAAAAGACATAAAAGAACCTAAACAACTAGTTGTAAAAGGCAAGAAAAGTGCCCATAAAATACGAACAACTGCATGTATGCATACTATTTTTAATATAGATAAAATAAAACAACTAAGCATTGATCAACACTAGAATGGATAAATTGTATTATACATTCATCCAATGGAGTACCATATCACAATGAAAATGAAGAAATTGCAGCTATACATGTTACATAGACGAATCTCACAAACATAATGTTGAGCCAAAGAAGCCAAACATATACATTGAATGATTCTGTTTACATAAAATTCAGACCCATATCTACCTAATCAGAACAGAGGTGATTCTTGGGGTGATTTGGGCATGAAGAGAGCCCTGGGATTCTGGCACTGCTTTATGTCTTCATATGGGTGCCAGTCACATGTTGGGTTTGTTTATTTGCTGGGTTAATCAATATGTGCACTTATTATTTGTGAACTTTTCTGCATCTATGTTAGCACTTCAAAAAAAAAAAACCTTTAACATTAGAAAAGCATCCAAGTTTTCAGGCAGTGCTTGCAACTACATACTAAATTATAATTCTTTCTAGATGATATTTATTGGTTATTTGCAGAGGGAGATGAAAGTAAGAAAAAAGAGAGCAACAGATAATCTGGGAAAGGTGTACATACGCCAGATTGATCTGAGTAATAAAGAGTTCTCTGAAGATTAATCCATGCATTTTTAACACGGACACACGCATATACTTGTGTATATATATTTAAATGAGCATTGTGGCTTCCTATATTGGTGAGTAATGAAGGCAAATATTTGTCAATCATTTTGTAGCATAAAAAGTTCCTGAATTATGCTAAGTATTTGAACAGAAATATTCATTTTTGTTTGGACTGGATGTGAATGCAATATCAGAAATACCATTTATTCATTCACAAAATATGTGGAGCACATACACATCTGAGTTGAGCATTGTGCTTGGGCCAAGGATGTGGAAGTAAGAGGCAGAGTCCTTGCCTTTATGTGGAACACAATGACCGCGTTTTCTCCAAAAGACCTATGAACTGCTTAACACCAATCAATATTTTAAATGTCATCTCGGTAGGTTCTATTGCTTACAGCACCTGACTCAAAAAGTTGGCCAATGGTTTATTTCCATTTCTAAAACATAACCCTCAGGAGGCAATATTTGGCTATGATATATTTTAAATTGACTTTCTTCCTCTCTCTTGAGCTCCCTCCTCTCCCATTACTTTCTCCCTTTCTTGCCTTTTTCTCTTCAACCATTAAAAAATATCAAAGAATATATTTGCTAATTTTAATTCATTTTATACCTGTGACAGTAATTAAACAAGGAAATTCATTACTATCATTACCATTATACTTTTACCATTACCGTTGCTTTGATATAAAATAAATGAATAGTTAGAATAGAAATCTATTATGAAAATTATCTTTTATGTGAAAAAAAGATTTTATTCCTCACAATTATGTTATGTTAAATTGTCAGGGTAACTGAAAGGTGAAGTTTCTAGAGTCTAAAATTTGATTTAATTTCAATTTAATATTTTGTTATAAAAACAAACTGGTACCATTTTAAATCTCTGTTGTTTTGAATATTTCAGTAACTATTTTTTAATGTGGAAATGTTTTAAGAGTATTAATTTTTTATATTTTCTCTTGAGCAAACTTCCTTTTTGGTTGAGCTATATTTATAACAATGTAAAGTTAAATTTCCCTATAGCTCTTTCTAGCATTGTCAACTAATTCTACCTAACCATTGAACAAGCAATAATTATTTAACATATACTAATGTTTTAAATAATGTCTGACTGCATCTCATCAATGTCAATCTTTTTAAAATCTTGAATGTTTGGTCTTTGTAACTTTAAACATCCAAATGCTAAGAAGGTAAAAATTTTAATTTGCATCCATATATCTGTAGTAATATAATCAGAGAAGGTTTGAAGCAAGCCTTTTACTCATAAAAATTTACTCTCTTTTCTCTGAATTACTTCACAAATCATATTGTAGCAGAACTGGTCAATAGACTAACCACTATGAAGACAATAGTTTTTATTCTCCCCAGGGCTTTTAGCAAATTTCAGAGTCTCTTGCAAATCTGTCTTCACCATGGGTATGATAATAGCAAATAATTTCAAAGCATTAGTCCAAGAAGAGACACCAGTTGATCGTAGGAAGTGTTCTAATTAAAACCAGTTTGGTAGCTCTTATGTTCTTACGAATACTAGCAGGTAATAATGACTAGTAAGGATTAACAAAGGATGTGGAGGGGCATTCTAGATAAGAGAACACAATATACAAATGCATGGAAATGAGAAATGGGTCCAAGGAACTATGATTAGGCCAATTTGGCAAACAAGCAGAGCTTACTTAAGGGACAGTGAGAGACAAGGACAGGTTAAGGAGCTACATAATGCTAGAATAAATAAATTTGGTCAATGCTGAAAATATTTCAGCATAAATATGACTTTTAAGAAATGGTATTTTCAGATGTTCTTCTAAAGACATTCAACAAGAACTAGCATGGGAAGACTTGAGTAGAAGGAAGATTCTTAAGTAGTTATTGCTATAGATAAGACTATAGGTGGCTGAGTGGCTCTGTATTAATTTAATGAAAGAATAGAGACAATATAAGACAGTATGAGTAAATGTAAGACTAAATCTTATTGACTTGTACATGCCAGGAACGTATTTTTTAATATTTCTTATAAGAACTTGACAAAGCAAACATACGCCATTGGATATAACACATAAAATATTTCACAATACCTAAGAAATATTCAACCTTTTTATTTATATTCAAATTTTGCTACTATGCCATCCTTTTGGCTTATGACTCACAACATTTTAACCACATATAACTACTTCATATAATTTTATAAATAAATCCTCACTATAATAGACACTATAACAGTAATCCACAAACAAAAAGAGCTGAATCTGCAATATAAGAGATAACATTGCAGTTCCCTTGAGTAAGTTTACCTCTTTAAGCCTAATTTCTTCAACTGTAAATTGGAGACAATAGTGGTATTTATCTATAGGATTGTATCAAATATTTATAACTATGCAGCTATGAAAGTCAATTGCATTTTCAACACAGTGCTTGGCAATCTCCTTTGTCAGACCACTATCTTCCACTTAATAGGAGCTGATAATTTTGCCAATTGTTTCACTACTACAAAACATGGGCCATCATCTTTCTACCTTCCAACAGTAGTTTACTCCACTGATTTTACCACCTCCAATAACAATCTCCTTTTTCCTTTCCAGCCTTTATTCCCACCTCATTCCAAGGCCGATACTACATGATTTAGATTTTTTAAGAGGGCACTCATTTATGGTACACATTTCTGTATCAGTTTTTTATTGCCAAGTAACAAATCATTTCAAAACTTAATGACTTAATGCACCATGAATTTATTATTTCTCACAGTTCTGTAGATTAAATTCTGCTAATCTTGTCTGGGCTCATTCATGTAGCTACTTTCAAATGATGGATTGGATGAGGACTCAGCTAGGGTGGCTGGGCCTCAATCTCTCTGGGGTCTTTCATCCTTAGGGAGGCTAGGCAAGACTTCTTCACCTTGTGATAACAGCGGCATTTCAAGCTGGCAAGGTCCAATGTCCCAGTGCTTATGAAGTCTCTGTTTTCATCCTGTATGCTGATGTCATATTGTTCAAATAAGTTACACTATCAAAGCTAGAGTCACTGTTAGAAGGGACTAGAAAAGACAGTGATATAATTCACTAGAGGACATTACTGTAGCAAAATACTATGATGACCTTTTGTGTGGATTAAATCAATGCACAGAAAGTTATTTTTTTATTATTATTATACTTTAAGTTTTAGGGTACATGTGCACAATGTGCAGGTTAGTTACATATGTATACATGTGCCATGCTGGTGTGCTGCACCCATTAACTCGTCATTTAGCATTAGGTATATCTCCTAATGCTATCCCTCCCCCGACCCCACAACAGTCCCCAGAGTGTGATGTTCCCCTTCCTGTGTCCATGTGTTCTCATTGTTCAATTCCCATCTATGGGTGAGAACATGCGGTGTTTGGTTTTTTGTCCTTGTGATAGTTTACTGAGAATGATGATTTCCAATTTCATCCATGTCCCTACAAAGGATATGAACTCATCATTTTATGGCTGTATAGTATTCCATGGTGTATATGTGCCACATTTTCTTAATCCAGTCTATCATTGTTGGACATTTGGGTTGGTTCCAAGTCTTTGCTTTTGTGAATAGTGCCGCAATAAACATACGTGTGCATGTGTCTTTATAGCAGCATGATTTATAGTCCTTTGGGTATATACCCAGTAATGGGATGACTGGGTCAAATGGTATTTCTAGTTCTAGATCCCTGAAGAATTGCAATGCACAGAAAGTTCTTAGCATATGCCTAGTACATAATATGCAGTCAGTAAATGTTAGCTACTATTTAAAAATTAGTAATGGCATTCATGATTATATATTTATAAAACTGTCAGTCTTACTGAGAAACTATTTTGCTTACTATAAACTGGTTTTTAACAATGTTCCTGTGAACTGCTTCTGTTCTTACCCAACACCTATCTTGACTCAAGATTTGCACTTGGATACAGCTCCTAAAGCAATTCTAGTTTCAAAATATCTCAATAAAAATAATATCTTACTGAATGTTCCCTAATGCAATGGACAAGAGAATTTATATTATACACCACACAACAGAAACTTAATTAAATTCCATGTTATAATATCTGATTTTCCCCCAATCAGCCTCCAAAATCCCTTCTCTTGCCTAAACAATTAACATCTCATTCTCACCAAGTATCTATTACTTGGGTAATGGAAAGTCTGGTAGCCTTAATTAAAATAATCTTCCTGTCTTCTTAGATATGCCCAACCCCATCCCTCCAACCTAATCTAGAAGAACAGAGAAAATCTCAAGAGTTTCAAGTCACACATATTCTTTAAAATAAAGAAAATCAAATTGAAACAAAGAAATATTAAGGATTAAGCTGTTTAATATACTACTGATTAGGAGTTAAGAATATAGAGAAGGACAAGATAATTTCACTGAAATTATTTTCATGTCTGACTTTTTTAACTGACCATTAACAAAGCACTAAGATCAATGGGGCAACACACGTGTTCAAAGTGCTTCAAGAGCACAAAGTAGGAAGCCCCTGTGAATGTCAGTAACATGGACTCTTACTCCAAAAAGAATAGTCTCGGCAGCATGCATTGGTCATGTCATGCACCATGCTTTTTTGAAACTCTCTACTTATTAGAGTGTTTTCTTTTGTGTTTCTCACTCCCACTCTCTGGAACTTGAACTGATTGCCTCTGCTGCGTACTAACTGTAGACCTTCCCACTGGTCCCCTGACACAGAATCAAGCTCACAGTTTCCACACTCACACCTGCTATTACCCTCTCCTTCAAATACACCATTTATCTTGACAGTAAGTAAACTTATCTCGGGAAGTATTCCTTGTGGAACTGTAGTTTGTCTTTTGGATTATCTGAAAGATCAAATTTTAACTTCTCCTTTGATACCAAACATTGGTCTTTTCCTTCCTTGAGCAAGCCTTAAAATGTACCTTTCCATTTCAGGTAGAAAACACATGAGAGTGATGATAGTAAGTAGCATTTAAGTTTACACATGTAGGAGATGCTTTGAAAATCCTTATTTTTTCATATCAGTCTGATATAAAGAATTACATTGTTCAAAAAATGCTATAAAAATGGTCTCTGTGCTTCTGAGTGAGAAAGACATTGGCTGTTGGAATAAATCCTCTGTCAATCTCCTTTTCAAGGAAAAATAACAACAAAGACTTCAGAAAGCTATACCAGCTGAGCAAGTGTTTTTGTGAAACATTATGACTTCAGACAAAATAGTAATCATCAGCTTGAAGAAGGAAAGTTTATGTATAAGTGCATATATATATAGCTGCTTTCCAGATATAAGATGGTTTGAAGGGATACAAAGAAGCTATTAACAAGATTGTTGTTTGCTGAAGATATTCAATAACTAGATTGTCTGTAGCAAGATTATCTTGTGAAAAAGATAAACCTCACATTTGGACCATGATGGAAAGGCATGGCAGAGTAATAAACTATAGAGGCAAGGGTGTGAACAATTTGGTGTAGGAGGTCAAAATAGTCTAGCATATTTATCTGTACTCATAACTTTGCATTTCTGTGTGCTTTTTGTATTGCTTAAAATCACACAATTTATTTTTGAGTTGTAATTAAGACATTTACTTACAGACTTCAGACTTATTTATGTATTTATTTAGTGAAAATAATTCTTTCCTTCCCTCCCAGTTTCCAGGTAAAAGTTAAATGATATATACTCCTGATCGCATATTGTGAAATATGGAATCTCTATGCAATTTTTACATATATTCCAAAAGGAGTTTTACACATAAGGAAAAAATTAGTACTCATTGAAGTAATGCGGGAGATGGACAAATCATCAGATTTCCATGAAAAGTTTACAATGGAGCTAAAGGATTGGTCCATTACATGTCAGAAGTGGTTATAACAATATATGGTGTATACCAAACAGTTTGAGAAAAAAATGCCATTAAATGTAAATTTTTTAATAATGTTGATTAGTTTTAGAATTCAGTGACTATCACATGTAAATTTAAAAAATGTTAGAAAAGAAAGTATAATTAAATAATTAAAAATCACCTAGCAATATCTGTTAACATTTTAAAATATTTCTTCCAAGAATTTTTTTATGTGGAGGAATATGCCATTATAATGTTTAATTGGGATTATACTGTAACTATGTACCTAATAATGTATCTAGCTTTTATCACTTAACATAATTTTAAATGTATTTTATGAGTATATTTTCCTTATTTGTTTAATTTACCCCAGTTTTATGCCACCAGGCTGCAAATATTTTCCAAAATTTCCTTTCCTATAAGGTTCTGGGTTCATACTGGCTACCAAAGACATTTGCATAAATGCGAGAGGCAGAAATGAAGTAGCAGCCATATTTTTATGCTCAGTAGATTAGTATAGAGTGTCATCCATTGCATCATCTCACACTTGTCACTGATCTGTAGTCTCACTTGGTTGACATGGGCCCCATCAGAAAGCCTCCTTACAGCTTTTTAAAGTCCTGAACCAAGTGAGTGTGCAGGTTTGTGGTAAAGAGCTGCAGGTTCACCGCATATCAACCCTGCAGCAGTTTAAGGCAGAGAGAGAATGATGTGGGTTCCAGTTAAGGTAGTAGGTCCCTTATCATGAGTGTTTCATATCTAGTTTTCCTTTCTGACTGCTAATCTGGCTGATGGTTAATAGCTTCACTCTCAATACCAGACAACTGCATTGCAGAGATGCTTATTCCAATTTTCATAATTGTGTGAGGCCTAGTCTACATATAAAATCCCTTATTCTATATCATTAATATTGTTCTGCTTCTCTGATTGAACCTTGACTGAGGCAGAAACAGCTAATGGAAGGGGTTCTAGATCAGTAGCCACTAGCCACTGTGGCTATTGACCACTTGAAATATTATTAGTAAGGTTTGAGAATGGCTATATCTATAAAATCCATGCCAGATTTCAAATACAGTAAGAAAAAAATGAAAATATCTCATTAATAGGCCATATATTGACTACATATTAAAATAATATTTTTGATATATTGGTTTAAGTAAATATTAATTTTGCTGATTTTTACATTGTTAATATGGCTACTAAATATTTTAACAATACATCAGTGGCTTGCATTTGTAGCTCACCTTGAATTTTTATTAGACGCTAATATTCAAGAGGAATAGAACCTTAGAAATGAGTTATTAGAATTGGCTCCAACATTTCTGGAATTGGTCTCTGGTCTGACTAGATTAAAGGTGTTAATGATCCTTTTTCCATTTGTGAAGGGAACTCTCATAGTCCGTGGGAAGCACTGGTAAATCAGATACTTAATTACCACCTGTAGATACCTATAATAAAGTACCTGTAGAAGGCAAAGCTTTGGGTGGCCAAAACTTTAGTTACTCATATAAAATATAATACAGAAAGTAAGGCATATGCTGATGGTGGTTGGTTTCTTTTAAGTGCACCAGAGAACTTCAAGAAAGAAAATGTTAGAGAAAGAAATAACTTAGAGAAAGAAGTTCAGGGCTTACATTCCCAGTTCAACAATACTTTGCAGTATTGTTGGAATATGTAATCTCATTTTTGTATAATTCCTTACCTGAGCATGTCACTAAATTTCTTTTACCTGAACCTGAGATATAACCAATATTTTTTAAGATTAGTTTCCTACATGTTCATTAACAGATACAAAACAACCCAGTTGATTTTATTCTATTGATTTTTTTGCCATTTTTATTGAGAGATTTATCATTATGTATCTGCAGTTGAGAAAATAGATATTTAGCTACAAATTAGATAAAGTAGGAAGTCTATACATTTGCTTGTTCAAGTTGTCTCAAAAGCAAAAGATATGTACATAAATGGTAATTTATGTGCAAATCTTTTAAATTTACTTGTTTTTGAGTAATATGCACATGAAGTTTCTTGCTATTGTGGCATATAATCTTCCTGAAACTACTTTTTCTACTTTCCTTCTTTTTTTTTTTTTTTTTTTTTTTTTTTTGAGACGGAGTCTTGCTCTGTTGCCCAGGCTAGAGTACAGTGGCGTGATCTCCACTCACTGCAAGCTCTGCCTCCTGGGTTCACACCATTCTCCTGCCTCAGCCTCCAGAGTACCTGGGACTACAGGCGCCCGCCTCCACGTCCAGCTAATTTTTTTTTTTTTTTTTGTATTTTTAGTAGAGACAGGGGTTTCACTTTGTTAGCCAGGATGGTATTGATCTCCCGACCTAGTGATCCCCGCCTATATTCTAATTTATATACAGCTATATAGATGACTTCTGATTACAACTTTCATTTCCAATGGAAAAAATAAATAAATAGTTTAATGAAAGATTAGGGTCAATTATATTTTATTTTCCATAATAAAAATAGCTTTATTTCCTTGCTAAACTTTACAATAATGTGTTCATTATAAGTATTTTAAACAAGATATTAAAATAGAAGGAGAAAGATCAGCCAAAGTCTTACTACAGAGAGATTATCACTATAAGCATATCTGTCAACATTATTCTGGTTTGATTTATAGTTTTATAAAAAATAAGTCATATTGTGTTTTTCATTCAGATAAGTGGTAATAGGAAATTTTCTATGTTAAAAATAAGGGACCTTCTTATCTTAATGTTTGAAAAATCTTAACCTACTAAACCATCTCCACATCACTGAATATTTAGACTTAAAGCTCTTCTTTTGTAGTGTGTGCTACTAGAAATTTACAGTCTATCCCTTGTTGCTGCCATCTGCTGACACCTTGCTCCTTCTCTTTATTCTTTTTTAACATATTGTAACCCAGATCATTGGTCTGTACTCTACCCCAACACCACCCATTATCCAAAATGGTTTCAATGTGACGATACCTAAAATAGATTTTTCTCTCATTTCCAATGAGCTTGTTCACTCTCTTATCTACACACTCTTGTGATCAAGCCTTAGTTTGTTACCCAACCAAATAAACAATTATCTAACAACTGCTTATTTCAGATCACTTGTTCACATTCTTCCCCAACAGCTATTCTTTTGACTTCCTTGGAACCCTGAGTGCAACAATCCTCAACTTTCTTCTTGTTTGTAAATACACATTTTTATTTTAAAATCGTATCCCAAACTTCATGATTTAAGTTTTTTTAAATTAATATCCTAAATTCTCGTGCTCATATGTTTGCACCATAACTATTTGGAGAAATCCCATTCCAGGAATAACCCAAAATATTTCCCATACTTCTGCTTTGAAGAAAATAACATCACTTGGAATACTGTTACTACACCCATAAATTCAGTTACCAAATTTTATAGGCCCTTCAACTCTGTTTCCCTAGTCAAAGAAAATACTTCAGATACTTACTTTATCCACTGTTCTTCTCAGTGGACCTATTTCATAATAAAAAAATTAAAATATGCCTATTCTTAAAGTCTATGTCACAAATTTTTCCAATATTTGTTCCTGGAAAAAATAGTTATTCATCCACATATTATAACGCAATCTGTCAACTATGTTTTGGATCTCAAAACCTGCCCACTCTCTGTAATCTCACTTTCCCCCACTGTTCATATGACACCAAGTTATTCCTCCAATTGTGTTATTTCCCATGTTAAATATCTACAGTGTCTCTGTAAACTACCCCAAACTGAATAGTTTAAAACAACAACGGACTGACTTCTGGTTTAACAACATGAGAGCTCTCCTGACCCACTTCTCAATAAAACTGATGGAAATTATGCAGACAATGCAATTGTATGAAGCTTCTGGAAATAGTCCTAAAGGCAACAGCAAATAAATATCTAGTGAAAAAAAATCTACAAAAATTCAGTGAGAGAGATAACAGTCCACAGTATTTGAATGAAGATTGTTGCAGATTAGAACACAGGACTTACTCTAACATCAGCTCCCAGTATAGGGCTCTCTTCCTAGGAGGATAAAGGATTCTCAGTTTCATTCTGTCCTCAGCTGCCTATTGTTGCGGCTGAGTGTGGTCACAGGTGGGGACTTCCTCCTAGTGCCCACCCACCATTTATGAAAGGTAGGTTCTAAGCAGGTGCAGTATGCTAAGAATAATGGGGTTCTGACAGCTCTTCTTCCTGTTCATAAGCATGTGTTTCCAAGTTAGGAAATGCAAGCAAAGACGACATCATTACTATTTCCTCCCCTTCCACCAGGTGCTCAGCTCCCAGAGTTGATGTGTCACTCAGAAAAAAGCTTGCCTTTGTCTCCACCCCTAGCTTCAGAGCTTGGGCTCAGAGATTTTGCCTGGGGGAGAAGCATAACAAAAAAACAATAGCTCCTAATCTGTCCCCAAATTAACTGACTTTATTTGCAACAAAGTATGGAGAAGTTTTAACCTAAAGCTACTCTAAAAAATATTGGACATTGTGGTGAAAGGCAATTTGAAGATTCATGGATCTAATAAAGATATAGCCTGGAATGTAAGGTGGTAATTTGCAGAAAATAACCCAAGGATAAGACAGCTGGGAGGAGCACTCCTGGGGCCAGAACAAATATGAAACACTAACCTCAGAAAGTAGTCACTCAAAGGGACCACAATTTGATTGGATTGGTTTGATTGAATTAATGGAGGCATTTAAGCCTCGGGATATTGATGAAAACAATAGAGCAATCAGTAGGTGCTACTAGTGGAGTTTAATAGCTGGATGTGGTCAGAAAAGAGTGGAAGAGCACCCTACCAATACAACTGACATCCCAAGATAACTGTGGGCATGCCCAAAACTATACTTCCCTGAGTCACAGCATCAAAGGTTTACCACAGTTAAGGAGACGGGGTAGACTTCAGTAAAACAATTCATCCAGTCATTAAACATACAAGCAAAGAAACACTGGAACAGGAGGACCAGTACTCAGAGTTGCTATAATATAGTGTCTAAAAGGACCAATTTCAATAAAAAATTATGAAACCTTCAAAGAAATGGAGAAACATGACTCATACGCTGGGATAAACAGCAGGAAACAGAAACTGCCTGGAATAATACACAGATGTCATATTTAACAGTAAAAAACAAAAACTAGTGGAAATAATTAAAGAAGTAAAGGAAGGTATGTTGGAATGTTATACCAAATAAAAAAATCGACAAAAAAGTAGAAATTAATAAAAAGAACTAAATGAAAATACCAAAGTTAAAAAGTATAATAATCGAAATACAAAATTTACTTGGGGGGCTCCTCAGAGAATTGAACAGGCAAAATAAAAACTAGCAAACAAAGATAAATGGATATAGATTATGGAACTTGAAAAAGAAAAAGAAAAAAAAGCATGGAGAAAAATGAATACAGCCTCAGAGAAATGTGAGGCATTATTAATCACACAAACATACATGTACGAAGCGTACATGGAGAGGAGACAGAAGAAAAAGAATATTCAAAAAAATTACTGAAACTACTCGAAGTTATTGAAAAACAATAACCTAGGCATCCAGGAAGCTCAGTGAACTCCAGGTAGTATAAACACAAAGTAACCCATGAACAAATCATATTAAAAAGAATGAAACTCTCTGACAAGGACTACATTTGAAAGCAACAAGGGAAATATGTCCCTTCACTTACAAGAAAACTCCAAAAAGATTAACACACCTGACTTATTGGCAGAAATAACAGAAACCAGAGACATTGGGATGATATATTTAAAATGCTCAAAGAAAGTTTCAACCTGGACTCCTCTATTCAGGAAAGCTTTTGTTCAAAAAGTGAAAGTGAAAGAAAGACCTTTACAGATAAACAAAATCTTAGAGAATGTGTTGCTAGCAGACCAGCCATATATGAAATACTTAAGGAAGTTCTTCAGTATGAAAGCAAGTTACACCAGATGGAATTTTCAGTCCAACTTGAAAAAATAAAGAATATTGTAGAAAAATCATGTAATTATTTAAAAAGTGGCATATTTTCCTCCTTTCTTCTCATACCTGATTTTAAAAGCAGTGGTATAAAATGATATGTATATAATGCAACATAACATTGAGCCTATTGCATATAGAAATATAACATGTGTGCTATATTTGTCAATAACAGCACAAATAAGGTGGAAGGGAGTAAAGTTTTAATGGCCTAAAATTACAAAAGAGGTAAAATAATACTTAAAATAATGTATTGTTAAGTTTGTAACATTAACAGGTGCAATATGTGTAAAAAGGATACTACAAAAAGTGAGGCAGGGAATAGAGCTGTATAGGAGTAACAATTCTGTATCTCACTAGAATCAAACTGAGATAAATCTAAAGCTAATTTGGATAAATTTCAATGTATATGGTAAACCCTAGAGCAAGTGCTAAAAGCATATAAACCATAAAAAAATTTAAAAAAATTAAATGCTACTTAAAGAATGTTTACTTAATGCAAAAGAAAGCTATAAAAGAGAAATAAAAGAACAAAAAGGACCCTGGAGCATATAGAAAACAAAGAGTAATTGGCATAAGTCCAGTTATATCTATAACATTAAATGTGAAAATATTAAACAATGTAATGAAGAGGCAGAGCTTTTCAAGTTGGATAAAAAAAATTCAATTATATACTATCTAAAGGTGACAGACTTTTGATTGAGAATAGACCTAAAATAAAAATATGGAAAATATATATTATGCAAAGAGCAAACACTTACAAAAGGTAAAAATGTAAATATTTATGTTATATATATTTTACCACAATTAAAAATACTAGAAAACTGACTTCAACAACATATTTTAAAAATTACACAACAGGATCAAGTGGGATTTAGGCCAGGATAAAGCAAGGTTGGTTCAAAATCTGAAACTATATTAATGGGATGCATTGTATCACTTGAATAAAATAAAAAATCAGTCAGGTACAGTGGCTTGTGCCTGCAATCCTAGCACTTTTGGAAGCCAAAGCACACAGATTGATTGAAACAAGAAGTTTGAGACCAGCCTGTGCAACATGATGAAACCCCATATCTACAAAACATACAAAAACTTACCTGGGTGTAATGACACGTGCCTGTAGTCCCAACTGCTTGGGAGGCTGAGGTGGGAGGATTGTTTGAGCTGGAGAAGTCGAGATTGCAGTGAGCCATGATGATATTACTGCACTATAGCCTGGGTGAAAAAGTGAGATACTGTCTCAAAAACAAGCAAACAAACAAAGTCACATAATCATCTCAATAAATGAGCAAACTCCATTTGACACAATCCAGCATGTGTTCATGATTAAAACCCTCAAGAAACTTGAAATAAAAGAAAAATTTATAAAACTAATGAAGAGTATCTGTGTTATGCCATTTTTTCATTGCTATAAGGAAATATCTGAGGCCAGATAATTTAAAAAGAAAAGAGTTTTAAAACCAACCTGAAAGCTAGATGAAGAAATAATTAAAATTAGATAACTGAATAAAATTGAGATGCAAAAATCCATACCAAAAAAAATCAATGAAATAGTTTGTTCTTCAGAAATATAAACAACATTGATAGACTGCTAGCTATCTTTAAAAAGAAGATCTAAATGAGTACAATCAGAAATGACAAAGATGACATTACAACTAGTCACACAGAAATACAAACTCCTCAGAGAATGCTATGAACACCTCTATGCACACAAATTAGCAAATCTAAAGGAAATGGATACATTCTGGGAAACACATAATCCCCCAAAATTGAATAACGAAGAAACTGAACCCTGAATAGACCAATATCAAGCTCTGAAATTGAATCAGTAATGAAAAACCTACCAACCACAAAAAGCCCTGGACCAGATGAATTCTACCAGATGTGCAAAGAAGAACTTATATCAATCATATTGAAAGTATTCCAAAAATTTGGGTAGAGGCTGCTCTCTAACTCATTCTATGAAGCCATCATCAGCCTAATAACAGAATCTAGCAGAGACACAATGAATAATGAAAACTTTATGCCAATATCTCCTATGAACATAGTCACAAAAAATCCTCAACAAAATACTAGCAAACCAAATCCAGGAACAAATCAAAAAGCTGATAACACCACAATCAAGTAGGCTTCATTTCTGACATGCAAGGCTGGTTCAACAGATGCAATTCAGTAAATGTGATTCATCATCAATGTGGTTTGAGTCTGAGTCTCCACCCAAGTCTCATGTTAAATTGTAATCCCCAGTGTTGGAGGTGGAACCTAGTGAGAGGTGACTGAATCATGGGGCAGGTTTCTCATCAATGATTTAGTACCAATCCTTTGACATTGTTCTCATGATCATGAGTTATTGTGAGATCTGATCATTTAAAAGTGTGTGGCATCTCCCTCCTCATGCTCTTGCTCCTGCTTTCAACATTTGAAATGCCTATTCCCCCTTCACCTTCCACCATGATTGTAAGTTTCCCAAGCCTTCTCCAGAAGCCAAGCAGATGCTAGCATCATGCCTCCTGTACAGCCTGCAGAATGGTGGCCAATTAAACCTCTTTTCTTTATTAATTACCCAGTTTCATGTATTTCTTTATGGCAGTGTAAGAATGGTCTAATACAGAAAATTGGTACTGAGAGTGGTGCATTGCTATAAAAATACCTGAAAAAGTGGAAGCAGCTTTGGAACTGGTAACAGGCAGAGGTTAGAAGAGTTTGGGGGGCTCAGAATAAGATAAGAAGATGAGTGAAAGTTTGAAACTTCCTACAGACTGGTTAAATGGATGGGACCAAAAGTGAAAGTTTGAAATTTCCTACAGACTAGTTAAATGGTTGGGACCAAAATGCTGATAGTGATATGAACAGTGAAGGCCAGGCTAATGAGGTCTCAGGTGGAAATGAGGAACTTATTGGGAACTGAAGCTGGAGCAAAAACCTCCTGTTATGCCTTAGCAAAGAGCTTGGCTGGATTGTGTTCATGCCCTAGGATGTTGTGGAACTTTTAACTTGAAAGTGATAATTTGGGGTATCTGGCAGAAGACATTTCTAAGCGGTAAAGTGTTCAAGATGTGGCATGGCTGCTTCTAACACCCTAGCTCAGATGTGTGAGGAAAGAAATAACCTCAGGTTGGAACTTATATTTAAAGGGGAAGCAGAGAAATTAGGAAATTTTGCATTGTGGTCATGAGGTAGAGAAGAAAAGCCCACTTTCAAGGAAAGAATGCAAGCAGGTTGCAGAAATTTACATAAGTAAAAAGGAGCCAAATACTAATATCCAAGACAATGAGAAAAAAGCCTTGAAGGCATTTCAGAGACGTTTGTGGCAGCCCTTTCTATTGCAGGCCTAAAGGCCTAGGGGAACTGAATGGTTACATGGGCCAGGCCCAGTGCCCCTGCTGCCCTGTGAAGTCTTCAGACACTGTTTCATGCATCCTAGCCACTCTAGCTCTAGCTGTGGCTCAAAGGGGTCCAGGTACAGCATAGGCCACTGCTTCAGAGGCTGAGAGCTATAAGCCCTGGCTTCCACATGGTGTTTAAGCCTGAAGGTATCTGGAGTCCAAGAGTTAAGGCTTGGGAGCCTCTGTCTAGATTTCAGAGGATGTATGGAAAAACCTGTGTCCAAGTAGATGCCTGCTGCAGGGGGAGTACCCTCACAGAGAACCTCTACTAGGACAGTACAGAGGGAAAATGTGGGGTTGGAGCCCCCACACAGAGTCTGCACTGATGTACTGCCTAGTGGAGCTGTGAGGAGAGGGTCACAGTCCTCCAGATCCCAGAATGGTAGAGTCACTGGCAGCCTGCACCCTCTGCATGGAAAAGCCATGAGCCATAAGCACTCAATTCCAGCCTGTGAGATCAGCTCTATCAGCTGAATCCTGCATAGCCACAGAAGCAGATCTGTCCAAGGCCTTAGGAGTCTGCCATTTGTACCAGTGTCCCCTGGATGTGAGACATGAACTCAGCTGAAGCTGGAACAGCCTTGATGCAAAGCTGAGCAGGGCAGTGGGCCCATGGCCTGGCCCCTGAAACCATTATTTCCCCTAAGCCTTTGGGCCTGTGATGGGAGGTGCAGTCTCCAAAATCTCTGAAGGGCCTTTGAGGTCTTTTTCACATCATCTTGGCTATTAGCACTTGACTCTTTTAGTCATACTAATCACTCTAGCAAGTGGTTGCTTCAAAGACTGTATCCTCTCCTGGAAATCCTTTTTGTTTCTCTGCCACATGGCCAGACTGCAAATTTTCCAAACTTTTATTCTCTGTTACACTTTTAAATTTACGTTTCTACTTTAAGTCATTCCTTTTCACTTGAATCTGATTGTAGGCCATTAGAAGCAGCCATTCCACATCTTGAATGCTTTCCTGCTTAGAAATGTCTTCTGCCAAATAATCTAGGTCATCACTGTTAGGTTCAACCTTCCACAGAACCCTGGTCCATGGACACAATGCAGCCATGCTCTTTGCTAATGTGTAACAAGGGTAGCCTTTACTCTAGTTCCCAGTAAGTTTCTCATTTCCATCTGAGACTTCATCAGCCTAACCATTGCAATCTATATTTCTAACAGCATTTTGGTCACAATCACTTAACAAGTCTCTAAGACATTCCAAACATTCTTTCATCTTTCTATCCTCTTCTGAGCCCTCCAAACTCTTCCAAACTCTTCCCATTACCCAGTTCCAAAGCTGTTTCCACATCCTCAGGTATCTTCATAGAAAAAGTCCCCTCCTGGTAGCAATTTTCTGTGCTTGGCAGTTTTTGTGTTGCTATAAAGAAATAGCTGAGACTGGGTAATTTATAAAGAAAATAGTTTTAATTAGCTCATGTATCTGCAGGCTGCACAAGAAGCATGGTGCCAGAATCTGCCTGGATTTTAGTTAGACTCCAGGAAGCTTCCAATTATGGTGGACATTGAAGGGGGAATAGGAATGCCAAATGGCAAGAGCAGGAGCAAGTGGGTAGTAGGGCCTAGACTTTTAAACAATCAGCTCTAGCGTGAACTAACTGAGCAAGAACTTACCTATCATCAAGGAGATGGTACTAAACCATTCATGAGGGATCTGCTCCCATGACCTAATCCCACCAGGCCCAATCTCCAACATTGGAATCACATTTTAACATGAGATTTGGAAAGGACAAACAAACATCCAAACTATATCAGCATGTATGAAAAATCCATAGCTATCATTGTACTTAATGCTGAAGGATTAGATGATTTCTCCATAAGATCAGGAAGAAGACAAGGATGTCTGCTTTCACCACATGTATTCTAAATTGTACTGGAGTTTCTGTCCAAGGACAAAAAAATGCAAACCATATCAGCACCTATGAAAAAATCTACAGCTATCAATGTACTTAATGCTGAAGGATTGGATGCTTTCTCCATGAGATCAGGAACAAGACATGGATGTTGTGTTTTCACCACATCTATTTGACATTGTACTGGAATTTAAGTCCAGGGCAATTTTGCAAGAAAAGAAGTAAAAAGCATCCACATTATAAAGGAAGGAGTATGCTAACTCTATTTACAGATTACATAATCTAATATACAGGAAATCTTAAGGAATTCCCTACAGAACTATTAGAATTAATAAATAAGTTCAGCAAGTTTCAGGATACATGATCAATATAAACAAATTAATCAAATTTGTATACACTTGCAATGATCAATATGAAAATTAAATCTAAAATACAATTATATTTATAATAGCATCACAAAGAATAAAATATCTAAGAATAAATTTAACAAAAGAAGTTCAAAACTTATACTCTAAAAACTATAAAACACTGCAAAAAGAAATGTTAGAAATTTACTTACATTTTCAAAAGAATCTTATGTTCACAGGTTGAAAGTTTTAAAATTTTGATGGCAATAATTTCCAAACTGATCTATAGATGCAATGCAATCTATATTAGAATTTTGGCTGACTTCCTTGTAGAAATTGACAAGACTGATTCTGAAATCCATATGGAATTGTCAGTGACCCAGAATACCCAAGACAATTCTGAAAAAAAAAATGTAGGAGGACTCATACTCCCTAATTTCAAAATGTTTTACAAAGAAATAATAATAAGACAGTGTTGTACTGGTACAAAGATAGTCATAAAATGGAATAATATTGAGAGTCCAGAATAAAATCAAACACCTGTGGCCAACTGATTTTTGTAAGTGTGCCATGAACATTTATTGAGGAAAGAATAGTCTTTAAGAAAAAATGTTCCTGGGAAAACTGGCTAGCTGCATGCAATATAATGATGTTGGACCCTTTTCTCAAACTATATATAAAAATTAGCAAATATTTAATATGTTGAATCGAAGTGAATCAAATACATAAATATAAGAACTAGTACACTAACACTATTAGAAGAAAATGGAGGGGTAAACTGTAAAATTCTTAGCAGAGAACATAGGGGTAATTCTATATGACCTTGGATTTTGCAAATAATTTTTAGAGGTGACATCCAAAATCACAAGCAACAAAGAAAATATAGATAACCTTATCAAAACCAAAAAACTTTTGTGCTTCAATGGACAATATCAAAATAGTGAAAAAACCAGCCTACAGAATGAGAGAAAATATTCACCAGTGATATATCTGATAAGGAATTTTAAGTATAGAGAACTCCTACAAATGAAAATAAAAATAAAATAACCAAATTTAAAAATGGATAAATGATCTGAATAGACATTTCTGTTATAGCCCAACAGGTTCTTCTTGCCTACAACACAAATAAAGCTAATTCATTAAGACAGTGGTATTGCAGCAGAGAAAGATTTTAATTGTCACAAGGCAGACTAGTAGAAGGATGGGAGATTTTTCTCAAATTTGCCTCCCTGAGAGCTTGGAGGCTAGGGTTTTTAAGGATATTTGGCAGATAGGAGGCTAGGGAATGGGTACTGATGATTGGCTAAGATGAAGTCATATGAGTATCCAAACTGTCTTTGGAGGCTGAGTCAGTTTCTGGGCAATGGGTATCGATGATTGGTTAGGATGAAATCATATGAGTATGCAAATTGTCTTTGCAGGCTGAGTCAGTTTCTAGGTGAGGCTCACAGGACTGTAATTTCTTTGAGTCATTTCTTTGGTGTGAGTCACAGGTGTGGGTGGCATCAGTTGGTTCACCTGAATGTAAAAGTTTGAAAAACATCTCAAAGACTAATCTTAGGTTTGAAAATAGTGATGTTATCTGTAGGACCAACTGGGGAAGTTACAAATCTTGTGAATTCTGGCTACATGACTCTTGATCAGTAAGCGATTATATAAAAGCAAAGTGCCTGTAATCCTAGCACTTTGGGAGGCCAAGGTGGGAAAATAGCCTGAGCTCCGGAGTTCAAGACTACCTTGGGCAACACAGTGAGACCCTGTATCTACTAAAATACAAAAAATTAGCTGGGCATGATTGTGGGCACTGTAGTCCCAGCTACTCAGGGAGCTTTGGTATGAGAATTACTTGAACCCAAGAGGCAGAGGTTGCAGTGAGCCGAGATTGTACCACTGCACTCCAGCCTGGGTGACAGAGCAAGACTCTGTCTCAAAAAAAAAAAAAAGAGAAAACAAAAGAAAAGTAGGGAACAATGGCTGGGTATCATTTAACTATACCTATGTTTTAGCAGAATTTAGGCCCCTCCCATAATCTTACCCTTGTGGCCTTTCATTAGTCTTATGAAGACAGTTACAGTCTCCAGAGGAGGTCAGTTTTGGGAGGGATTATTCTCATCCTTGTCTCAAAGTTAAACTGTAAACTAAATCCCACACAAAGTGAGCTTGGTCTATGCCCAGGAGTGAGCATGGGCAGTTAACTTGTGATGTTAGAAGCAAGATGGGGTCAGTTAAGTAAGATTTATCTCACTGTTATAATTTTTGCAAAGACAGTTTCATTTCTTCAAAGAAGATATACAAATGGCCATCAAGAATATGAAAAGATGCTCAACATCATTATCCATGAGGAAAATGTAAATCAAAACCACAATGAGATACCACCTCACACTCACCATTATGGCTAAAATAAAAGACAAATAAGAAGAAGTATTGGTGAAAATATGAAGAAATTTTAACCCTCATACACTGTTGGAAGAAATGAAAAATTGTACAGCTGCTTTGTAAGACAGTCTTTCTAAAGATATAGTAGCACAGGCCTATAATCCTAGCTACTTGGGAGGCTGAGGTGGGAGAATTGCTTGAGCTCAAGAGTTCAAGACTAGCCTGGGCAACATAGTGAGATCCTGTCTCAACATAAAAACAAGAAAAGAAAAACAGTCTGACAGTTCCTCAAATGATCAAACATAGAGTTACCATATGATGTTCCACTTCTACCTTATGCATACAAAAGTATTGAAAACATACATCCAGATAAAAACTTTTACATGTATGTTCATTGCTGTGTTATTCATAGTAGCCAAAAAGTGAAAACTATTCAACAAAACAACCCAATATCCCTCAACAGACTAATGGATAAACAAAAGGTTTTACATACATAAAATGAAATATTGTTAGAACTGATACATGTATCAACTTAAATGAAAGGAGCTAAATTAACATAAGTAGAGAGTTTATTTGGGCCAACCTTGAGGATTGCAACCTGGGAGCATAGATTTGAGTTGCCCTGAATATACACTACAATTAGCAGCAGTTACCACTAGATTTTTAAAGGCAAAAAAAAGGAGCAGTTAGTTCCTAAGTTGTTTACCAAGAATTTACAATAAAATAACATAAGCTATTGATTGACTATATATTGTTCTTTGCATTACAAATTCTAGGAACATGGAAGATAATGGGTGAGGCAACTAGTAAGGAACAAAATGACTTTGAACAATTGCCTCAAGCATGGGTGTGAGGGTGGGGAGCATAACTAAAGTCCCATAATCATGTTTGTCTGGGCCTAATAAATTTTGCATTCCTCACATAGCTCAAACTTTTCTGAGCTATTCTTTCTTTCCTCACATGTTACAACTTGAATAAACCTTTAAAACAATATGTTAAATAAAAGAAACCAGGCACAAAAATCCATGTATTACATAATTCTTTTCATAAGGAGGTCTAAAATAAGGAGATCTATAGAGATAAAAAGTAGAGTAGTGGTTGCATAGGGCTGGAGAGAGATGAGGGATATGGAAATGATAGCTAAAGGGTATGGAGTTTCTTTTTGCGGTGACTAAATGTTCTAAAATTGACTGTAATGAAGGTCGCACTTATCTGTGAATATACATTGAGTGGTACACTTTAAATAGGTGAATTGTATTGTATGTGAATTAAATCTAAATAAGATCATTTAAAACAACAAGTGATTAATTGCTTTCAATTCCAAAATTTGGTGAGAATATATCGTGGACAGTTAGTCTCTCTTCAGTGTGGTATAAATCAGGGTCACTCATACCATTGTCTTCAAGTGGAAGCTCAATTGTTAAAAAAAGAAAAAGAAGAAGCCAAGACAGCTTCACTCACATATGTGGTGCTTCATATGTGGTGCTTCATCTGTGGTGGCCGCACAGATAAGGGCAGATTGAGCCTCTTTCTCCATGTACACCTTCATGAGTTAAGCCTGAGTTTCTGTTCATGAAGACTTGATCCCAAGACAGTGAAAGTGAAAGCTATAGGTCTCTGCAAGCCTATGTTAGGAATTCCATAGTGTCATTTCTACCACACTCTGTTGATCAAAGCAAGTCACAAGGCCAGCCCAGATTTAAGGTGAAAGGAACTAGACTCTGCCAATTCATGGAAAGCATGAGAAGCGGAAACATAAAAAGAGGAAGAAAGTTGTTGTTATATTTAACAGAGATCTACTACAGTATTCCACCTGTAAAAACTCATCATCAAACATCAAGTGCACAAGCAAACGTTTCCCATCTCTACCTACGTCTTTCTTTCTCTTTATAGCCCAATTTTAACTTTAAAAAAAAATCTCTCTCCTTATTTTCTCACCCATCACCCACATATCAATCCACTTTAATAGGATGTACCAGGTATAATAATTGTCAAATATCAAGCTCATTTATTTCAATTCCCCTTTTAAATAGATTGACTGTAGCCTAACCTTCTCTGACTCATTCATGAAGTCCATATCCATAGGTGACAAGAAGGTTGATTTTAGTACATTAACAAGACAATAAGTTTGAAAGCCAGTTTTTATGGAAAGTGGAAATTTCTCAAATTTGCCTTACCACAGTCAAAGCCTAGAAGACCTAATTTATAAAGTTCACCTGGGCCAGGTGCGGTGGCTCACGCCTGTAATTCCAGCACTTTGGGAGGCCGAGGCAGGCGGATCACGAGGTCAGCAGATCGAGACCATCCCGGCTAACACGGTGTAACCCCTTCTCTACTAAAAATACAAAAAATTAGCCGGGCGTAGTGGCGGGCGCCTGTAGTCTCAGCTACTCGGGAGGCTGAGGCAGGAGAATGGCGTGAACCCGGGAGGCGGAGCTTGCAGTGAGCTGAGATTGTGCCACTGCACTCCAGCCTGGGTGACAGAGCGAGACTCAGTCTCAAAAAATAAGTAAATAAATAAAGTTCACCTGTAGGTAGAGAAAAGGGAAAACTTCTAATAACACATAACATTTAATGCACCTTCACTATTTTAGGTACTTTTCAGATATTTATTTAATATTCACATTACTATGAGGTTGATACCTATAATTTTCCATGTTACATCTATTAGGGAGACTCAGTGAGATAAAGTATTGTATGTCACACATGCACATATGTAAAATTTATTATACATATCTATGTATCTATCCCCCTCTCTTAAGTTACTGTATTTTACATCTCCTACCTACTATGAGAGTGTAAACTTCTTTTTTTTTTTGAGACTGAGTCTCGCTCTGTCACCCAGGTTGGAGTGCAGCGGCGAGATCTCTGCTCAATGCAAGCTCTGCCTCCCGGGTTCACACCATTCTCCTGCCTCAGCCTCCCTAGTAGCTGGGACTACAGGGCACCCACCACCACGCCCGGATAATTTTTTCTATTTTTAGTAGAGAGAGGTTTCACCGTGTTAACCAGGATTATCTCGATCTCCTGACCTCATGATCTGCCCGCCTGGGCCTCCCAAAGTGCTGGGATTACAGGCGTGAGCTACCGTGCCCAACCAAGAGTGTAAACTTCTTAAAAGCAGAAGTTTATATACTCAGTTCCAGTTGTTTAATAACTATTGAGTACATCAATGAGTAAATAAATAATATTATTGATTTGGTTTATGTCTTATATTTTACAATTTGTTTTACAAACTTAAAAGAGTATAAGTCATATATATTTATATATCCTGCTTTTTATTATACAAGAAACATTCTTTTTTGGATAATATTCTGAAACATGAATAAACCACTTTTAATATCTAATTTCTAATAATTGGTCGTATAGACTGTTTCTAAATTATTATTGTAATAATTTAAAAAGTCATATACACAATTTTAAAATTGTATCTGTAACTGTTATTACAGATACAAATTATTATAATAATTAAAAAGTCACATTCACAATTTTTAAATTGTATCTGTAATTCTTAAGATAATTTTATAAGAATTAATGCTACAGTATTTTTAGAACTGTTTGCGCATATTAACAAGTTGTCATCCAGATATTATATGCCAACTAAATAGTAAATGACAATATGTTGTTGGATTTGTATTTTCTTTTTCTTTTTGAGACACAGTATTGCTCTGTAGCACAGGCTGGAGTGCAGGGGCATGATCACGCCTTACTGCAACCTCAGCCTCATGGGCTCAGGCCATCCTACCATCTCAACCTCCCAAGAAGCTGGAACTACAGGCATGCACCATCAAGCCTGGCTAATTTTTTTTTAAGACATTAGGTCTTACAATGTTGTTCAAGTTAAATAATGTGTCTTTCACTTTTGGCAACATTGGGTACTAGAATTTTTAATAAAATGTAAATTCATTTATTCAATAAAACTTTATTTTGGTTTCATATTTTTAAAAACAATTATTGAAAACATCATAGATGAAGACCTTTTGGAAATACAGCTGCCCTTAGAACTACTCTCCATTTTAGATTTCACAAATGATAATTGACCAAGTGTTCCCATCCCTGGATTCAATCAAGGAAGTCTTATTGATATTGTACAGTAATTAAGCTCCTTACTGTTGCAGGAAGAAGAGAAGAAACTGTGATTATCAACCTGCGTTGGTGGTTTACTGAGAGGAGGTAATGTAAATTCATAGAAGAGATTCTACTCCCACCCGACCTGTGCTCAGCTTTTGTTATCTTCTGTCGACTATAAGCATATACTCCAATTCACCACAAGGGGCTCCTCACCTGCCACTACTCCCACACTGAGCTTCACTTTTCACTTTCTATTCCTGAAAGACTATTGCTCACTTTCTTACTCATGCAAAACTAGGTACTTTAAAAGTCATGCTGCATCATATCCATTCACACTAACCTCCAGCCTTTCCTCAATGGCTAACTCCCATAGCAAACCCCTCTACATCTGTTTATTCTCATGTTTCTAGTTCCCCGTTTGCACAGTGCTGAAAGTTTTCCATATTGCCTGCTGTCTTTACATAACAGTCACTTACAGTTCTTAAACACACTATTCACTTAGCACTCCCTGTGTCCTGATTAAACTACTCATAATATCTAACATCAATTCTTGCTTATATTGGAGATTGGAGGTAGGGAGTTCAAGAACAGTGTATCTAGAATACTCAGAGAGAAGAAAAAGAAAACGTTATCCTATGTCTGGGCTAGATGCATCTGACAGATTACCAAAGGCTTGCCCAAGTGTGGGGTGATCAGTTTTCAATTAGACAAGTAATACCTGAATATATTTTCACAATGTATACAGCATAGAAAGACACAATATTGTAGTTCTCCTTATACGGTGGGGTTGATTTTTTTAAAAAAAGCTTTAAAAAGACGTAATAGCTGTACATGAACTACAATGTACAATTTCCTTTCAGTAAAGATTTCAGACATGTGGATGCTTTTAAATGAGATGAGGTTATTATTCAAATATATGCATCTAGACCTTCAATCAATCAAGAAAAAGGGAATAAATGGCATACTGCTCAATATCTGAAATATTTGAGAAGCAGTCAGATTTAGAGCCAGAGGGCTGGTCTTAGGGATCTTGAAGTATTTTTGAACAGAATTCTATACTTAGAATTCTCTTCTCTGTGTTTACTTTTTTCACAGACCCAATGAACCTGGCAAGCCTATTGTAATTAGAAATTACAATTTAGAGTAGGAGTAAAACGGAATGGTTAAATGTAGACACACCTAGGCAGTAGGCAGCCCTTCTGGCACTCAGTTCTATTGTGTTTTTCTTCAGGATTTGCTAATCCAATTGCATATTTAAGAAACTCAAACATTTTTAAAACTGAAAAAACTCAAGAGGGAAATGTTTTTCTTTTATGGGGCCTTGGTATCTCCAAAAGAAAAGCAAACTTCTCTTGCTAAAGGAAAATGTTTTTGACGTATTTTAATTTTATTGTTGTTGCATGTGGGTGGGAGGATGGAAGAACCCCAACATGTTTCTTGCTGTCATAGTTTCTTTTTTTATATACTTTTGTTTTAAATACTGTCATTGAGTTCAAGGGCCAGGAGAGGGAGATCATAATGTGGATCTTTTTGAGGGGTTTCTTTTGTTCTTGGTTCAGTTTCTGCCAGGTTAGACTGGGGAGTATTGCTGAGGAGGCCACACAATTGAGAGTTGTAAAAGTCAAGAATCTTTGTTTTCAGTGATAATCTTATAACAAATGGGAGCCAGGTGTGCAATATTTGAATTGGCTGCTTTTCAGAGTTTTTATTTATTTTCCTTTAGGTATGCAACAGCACGGCAGACTAAAATGAAAATGCAATCTTATAATGCCTATTTTGGGTGGTGTTTGAAATTGTTGAGTAATTACAACAAATTATAAAGAATATATGAATAAAAATTCAAGGCCTTGGAATAACACATGAATTTTGGAATTCTCCCAAATACAATAAGTCTTTCTTTCTCAACTATTGAGATTACATGACATCATCCTTTTTGTTCATCTGAGGCCACCCATCTGGTTTCACCTTCTTCCAACATTCATTGTAATAGATCATTGACAATATTCATGGATTACAGAGCCTCAGGGATGGAGAGAGATCTAGAAATAATCTAATCCTTTTTTCTTTTCTTTTTCATAACATAGGTTTATTTTATTTTTGTTTTTAATTGACAAATAATAATTGTATATACAGTGAAATATGATGTCATGATAAACGTATACATAGTGGAATGATTGAGTTAAACTTATTAGTGAATCCATCACCTCACATGCTATCAGTTTTTATGGTGGGAATGCTTGGAATTTACTATCTTAGCAATTTTGAAATATAAAATACATTATTATTAACTATAGTAACAATGCTGTGCAATCGATATAGGACATTTATTCCCTCTAACAAACTTTGTACCCTTTGATCAGCAGCTCTCCATCCCCCTCTGCTCTCCAGCCTCTGGTAACCACCACTCTGTTTTTATGACTTAGACTTTTTTAGCTCCAACATATAAGTGAGATCATGTGGCATTTTTCTTTCTATAGCTGGCTTATTTCCCTTTGTATAATGTTCTCCAGGTTCATCCATGTTGTCACAGATGACAGACTTTCCTTCATTTCTAAGGCTTTATAGTATTCCATTGTGTGTATATATATGTATATATATCACATTTTATTATTTTATCCCTTCATGAGTACTTATGTTGATTATTAATATTGGCATCGTAAATACTATTGAAATGAACATGGGAATGCAGATATCTCTTTTATGTATTGGTTTCAATTCCTTTAAATATATAACCAGAAGTAGGATTGCTGGATCGTATGGCAGTTCCTCTTCTTTTCGATTGCTCGGTCTTGACCCAGTTCACTGGTAAAACTGAAATTAGTGTTTAGTTCTTCTATTTCTAAGCTCAGTCGGTACTTTTCTTCTTATAACACTTTTGCCTCCAGTTCACAATATAATGAGAAATAGGTGATGGGAAAATTGTTTTTAAATAAGCACAGCTGAATCCATACTTACATCAAATCCCAACAGTTCCCGTTTCTCAAAATATCAGAACTTGTAGAAAACTTGTCTGTCTGACAAGCAACTATTTCCCCATCTTTTCATGTCTGTACCTTGATTTATCTTAAATAAAATCCCTACCCACGCATTTCACTTAGGGCTGATCACATTCACAATTTCGTTAGAGTCAGGCCAGTCCAATAAAAATGTCATATCACCTGAGCCACCATGATTATGCCATGCCACCACCGCTGGAACAAACCAATCTGAAATAACTGCAGGACTTTTGCAGATGCATCCCTAATGCAGGAGATCTCTTAGTGTTGTGGCTGTGAACAGGACAGATTATAGATGCATTACTGCTGGAAACCATCATGTGAAAAAGAGGAAAAGCACCTGATAATGTGAGCTATCCTATGAAAGACAGAATTCATGAAAATATACAGAAAGAAATAAGAGAGGAGCACTGTCTTTCAAGAGGTGCCAAATTTTAAGAGTTCTAAGAAATATTAGTGCTGCATAGTTCTTAATTAGTTGCATATTTTTGGACTCCATTGCAATAATCAGATTCTACATTATTTACATATTAGATCAATACTCTAAACATTATCATTTTAAAAATAAGGTAGTAAATAAAGATATATATGTCTTTGGATTCAGCTTCCTTGATCTTTTTATCTATCCACATTGCATTTTAAGCTGAACATATAATTAAGAATTCTTCTGAATAAGAATTATTCTAAGATGCCACAGAATGGGGTACTTAAGAACTCAAATAATTTCATGAGAAATGAGAATTTTAAAATGTTTGGTCAATTTTAATATTCCAGCTTTGGATTATGCTTTGATGATGATGATGATGATGAGTAGGAACCCAATTTATGGTTAATCCTGTCTTATTACGAATATATGTATTCACTGGGACAAAAACTATTCATATATTTATGGAGAAAAATAATTTTGAGTTATGTTGAAATGTAGCCTTAAACACATCCAAGTAATTTTTTTGTCCTGTTCTTTTTTATCAAATATCCATTCTTCATATGTTTGAACTACCTTCGCTTTTTGTTTTCCTGTTATTGACACAGTATGGACTAAGAGTATAAAGGAGATAATTTAAGGGCAACTTCACACCTGAAAAGTTGAAATCATTGGTTTCTCCTTACAGAAGACTCCCTGGGGAAGATAATACAGGGAATCATGGGCAATTTACTACTAGTTGTGATATGTATCTGTCTGATGTAAAAAATCAATGGTTTCCCTCTTTTTAATAAAATGGCCTCCCTGGGGACCAGAGAGTAGAAGGTCGTAACAGCTTCTTAGTTTGCATGCCCGACTATTTGTTCTCCAATAGCAAACAGTTCTTCAAGTAATGACACTTTGGTCTCTGGTGCAGAGCACCTGCAGCTCTTGTGCTCTGCAACATCTACCACTGTGCTGCGATTATATAGAGGACCTTATTTGGAAGAGAAATGAAGGATTTTTAAAGAGGAATTTGTAGCCCATTTACCTGCTGCTCTCCCACTCAAACTTTATGTGCTTGCTACCCCTCCAACCCCCCACCACACTCCTATTTTAGAAAGGAAAAATCTTTGTCACATTTGTGTAAAAAACACTTAGAGCCCTGATTTTTCTTCTTATTAATCTATTTGTTTCTTACCAAGAATTTATGAAACATAGAAACATGGCAATGTGTTAGTAACCCATATAACATACTGGGTGAAAATACTATTTCTTAGTGTCCAAATCTGGTTTTGGACAAGTAAACCTTATATGTGATGGTGATGATATGTTTGATTGTTTGTGTGTTTGGAGAGAGGAAATGTGAAAGAGACACATATCTCAAGATATATTAAATAAAAATGAAATGACTTCAACATGAATTGGTAGGGGACACAATTCAGCCCCATAATACACAACTAGCATCCAGACCTCGGTTTCTCTTACTATTCTCCAATAAAAGGAATCAAGGCTCCTTGGAGAATGACTGATTCTAGGTCTAGGGCCAGGAATGCACAGGGTGAAGCTGGAGTATATTGTAGTACAGAAAATAAGAAAATGTTCACAATAAAAACAAAATCAAAGCCCAAAACGATAGGGTCTAAGTTAAATGGACACAGGAGCCAACTGAAATAGTTCTCTATTGCCAAAGCTAGAAGAGTTTGAGCAACAAAATAAATAAGGAAATACTGGATTGTATCCCAAATAATAAAATAAATATACCTGATTTTGTAATTATATAAAATATTATAAATGAATGACAGAATGATTTATTTAAATAAATGAGAAACAATAGCTAAATCTCCTATGCAAAATAACTCTGAATAATTTATACAGTTTCTTTACTTTCAAGTAAGTGGAATGTTGCTCCCTGCTCTTTATGTGTGGGCTGTAGAAAATGACTTCATTCCAAGGAGCAGAGTAGGGAAAGTGGGAAAAAGTAATTTGACAGCGGAGCAGCCCCTCAGCCAGGTGATTTCCATTAACTTCAGTGGTGATAAGTCATGTTGATAGTATGTGTCCTTGATATGATGTGATGAGAACAGCACTTTATTTCTGGGGTATTTCGTCCCAAATCACAAAACTCTAGTATAATCATGAGAAAAGAGAATCTGACAAATCTCAATTGAGAGACATTCCGCAAAATAGCTTACCAATATTCTTCCAAATTTCAAGGTCATCAGAAGAAAGGAAAGTTTGAGAAACTGTCACAGCCTAAAGAATATGGGTACTACATTTAATAGGGATTACTAAATGTAATAAGGTATCCTTCAGAATACCTTATTGCTAAATGTCATAGGGCATCCTGGAGGGATCTTGGAACAGAAAAGGACTTTAGGTAACAACTAAGGAAATCTGAATAAATATAGATTTTATATAGTACTGAAGTATCAATATGAGAGCCATAATTGTGAGAAATGTATCATACTATTATAAAACATTAATAATAGAGGAAACTGGGTATGGGTATATGGGAACTCTCTGTACTATCTTTATAACTTTCTTGTAAATCAAACACCAATCTAAAATTTAAAAGTTTTAAAAAATTAACTTTAGTTTTATGCAGAATGAATGATAAACTCAGAATCTTTGAAGGCTTTCTATCCAAACCACCTATAAAACTTACGTTCTTTCCCCCCGGCCTTCTCCGTTAGTCTGGATAGAACCTTGAGTAACCTGCTTCTTGACTAGGTCACTCTCACCCCTATTATTTTGTTCATTTCATTCATATCTCCAAAAATGTCCTTGCTTTTCCTTTTTGACTATCTGGCCCTTCTTCGAAGAACTCTTGAAATCCTACTTCTAGGGGTCTTTCTGTATTTATTTTGTATTTCCCTATTCAAGATTAAATGAAGGAATTTTAATCTTTACCCCCAAATTCAGCATGGTCATATTCAAGATCATGCATTGTTCATTATGTGTTTTGTGCATGTATGTTTCAACATTCTCCATAGCAAGTAAATCAAACTATTTATTCTAGATAAATAAGTAATATTTTATTAATTTTATAATGTGAACAGGCAGATAAACATTTTCCACTATGAAAATAAATTTTCCACTATGCTATTCTGTTGGAAAATAAACACATATTTTAGTAATAAATATTTTTTAATATTATAATATCAAAGCAGAAAAAAGCTATTCTGTTGGAAAACAAATGCAGATATTAGTGATAAATATTTTTAAATGTTATAATATCAAAGCAGAAAAAAGGGGAGGAAAATTGAAAAAAAGAATGAGAAAATGTAGGAAAAAAAATAATCAGCCTGACTAGGGAGGCCAAAGAGAGATGATAGCAAATTTTAAGGAAAAATTAGTCGTATATTTGTTCTTTTATAAAAGAGTAACAATTAGTAATATATATAATAAGTAGAAGAATATATTTGCTTCCCCCCCCTTTTTTTTTTTTACTAAATATATGTGTCCTCTGTATGTTTTAATGGAGATTCAGCATACAGTGAAGTGTTATATTCTTAAAACAAGAGAGTTTTTCTGCATTGCCTTATACTAAAATGAGTAGGAAATACTTTAGGAAGAGACTTTTTAAAAGAATCAAGCTTGGGTCATGTGGCAAGAGGCACATTATTTCACAATATCTGTTCTGAACTTCTTCCATGTTTAATGTATAAGACAGCAGGGCACATGAACACTCAAATTACATTTTCAAGTTCATTCAAAACATCTTTGTGCGACCATGTAATTACGTTCTGACCAATGAGATGTAAGTTAAAGATTTGATGGCAACTTGCAAGAATCTTTCTTAAAAAAAGACAGCTAGCACATGTTTTTTGTCACCTTTTGTTATTCTTTTAACTTTTAATTACTCAAATATTGTTTGAAGGACTTTTTCTCATCAGAAATCATGTACAATTTTTTTAGCGTTGCCTACAATCCGAATTTTGAGCAGCTATTTCAGATCTATAAATATAAGTTAAATTGATTTTGATCAAAAATTGGACAGTTTGAAAGAAGACAGCTAGCTACCAATTGATTTGATTGAAACTCAATCCATATACTCACAAAAATAGCAATCTTTTAACTTTAGAAATTCTGTCTTAGTTGCAATGAAAAACTTGTAACTAAGATAATAATGTGTCCTGTGATCTAGCTAGAGAATATAGCATACAAACTAATAAAAGTACAACAGCAACTTTAATGTTTTATTTAATGTATATGTGTGTCTGTGTGTGTATATATATATATAATTAAATTAAATCTATTATAGACACACAGTTTAAAAGAATTAGCTAATATCTGGTAGCCTATCAACACCTAGAACTAAATAAGGTCTGTTTTTTAAAGGAAGTGAGGGGAATATAATATTTTAGGTAGTTTTCCCAATTTTTAAAACAATCATATGCATTATTATCTCTACTGATTTTAACAAAAGAGAGAGAGAGACTGAGGATGTCAGGAAGTTTAGAAAGACTCCTCTAATATCAAGCAGCTTGTAAATGATGGAGGCTGGATTTGGACAGAGTTGTGTCTCTTCATGTTCTTACATCATGTTAGCCGACTCCTAATGAAGGTTTTTTGCTCTTGCTGGTGTGTTGTTATTGTTTGAATCTATGTGCATAACTGAAGAAAAGGGTTTTTTTAGAGAAACGAAAAAAAAAAACAGGAGAAGGCCACAGTTGCTCATATTCAGCATATAGATCAAATAAAGCATGGGAAAGTTCGCGCTTACTTCAAGAAGGCATATTGTTATCTCCTTGTTATTTTTATGTTAATTGAATAATATTCTCTGGCATATGGAAATAATAGCATTTCCATTCTAGTCATATTCAGCTTCCCAGTTATTCTCAACTGAAGTCAGTTTCTTTTTAGGAATGCATTAGATTTCTTTTTATTGTCTGAAACACAGAGAAATGAATATGAAGAAAGTTGTTAAGTCTGATTATGAATATCTGGAAATTAGATCCATATAGTTAGGGAAGGAAAGGGAATGCAAGGTCATGATTTAGCTAAGTTTGTGGTTCTTATTTTTGTGAGGATTCTCAAACTAAGTTCTTGAATAAATTTAGCGATATGTGTTTCATAGACAGCAAGAATTTCAAACTTTTAGATGCTACTTTACTTCTTGACAAATTGTTGGTATCTTAAGGCATTTCAAACACCAAATAAAAGAAGTTCCTTTTTCTTTAGCACATTCATAGACAACAATATTTGGAGAAATTAAGTAAAAGGAATCAGAAACACATAGAATACATTCTTTTAAAATATACAGGAGTTTAAACGTTATTGAGAAAGTATCTAGCAAAATGGGTCATTCTAAACCAAAACACTTAAAAATGGATTAATACATTTCAGAAACTCTAGGAGAAAAAAACAGAAACTGCTTTGTAATTAAAACTAAATAAAACATAAGTTCATTAAAATAATTTGAATTTTGTTCTGTTTTAGAAGGCTCTCTGGTTTGGCTCAAGTAACTATTTTATGTAAGTTAATAATGTAAGTTATTATTACACAAATAAGACATTTTCCTATTTTATATACACAGAAAGGAGCGATACATGATGTTCTCCTGCCATATTATCTTTCTCTTGTTATCTACCCTCTTGCAATAGGTGAAAGAAAGAAACAGAATACGTCTGGACCACACAGTTTGATGAGAGATCTTTGCTATTGGAGGCCAAGGACTGTATCAGTGTCCTTGTACAATACAGGGTACTTGGTAGGCACTTAACTCATGTCTGGTAAACTTTTTTTAAATTGATATCACTGAAGGAGTCATAAATAAGGAATTTTAAATAGGCTGAAGGAAGGAAGTTAGTCCCAGTAAAGTTAGATGATTTATCAATGATCACATGAAACCGGGATGTGAAGCCATGTTGTAATCCCGTAACTTCCATCTCTATCCATTTCAGCCTCTACAGAAAGCTCTTCTACAACTATGGCTTTAATTCCAAAGTGGTAAATACACAACCCAAGGAGAGTAAAAACTGAAGAGGGATGGAAATATGAAAGTTAAAAGGGTAGGGTACAAAAGTGCCTGAGCCTCTATCCATTCACTGGCAATGAGGATGCAAAAGCACGGAAAAAGGGGGAAAAAGGGGTGGGTGGGTTGGGAGGGTGAGGTGAAGAAGATACTCAAATGCTCAGAATTCTGAGGAAGCCACACTATCTCACTCACTAGATGAGTCATCTCAGTTGTTTTCAAAACATCACTAGAATTTTCCAAAAATAGATTTGCCTTTGAGTTTTATGATACTTTCAAACCAGATCATTTCACTGTTGCTTTTTATTATGGATGATCTCACATAGCAAATCAACTCCAAAATTTGGGGTGAGATATGCTTTAGATTTTGTCTATGCCCAATCTTTTCTTATATGAATATCTTTAAAACATACATAAATTACAATTGAGCCGTTCTTAAGGCACAATATAAAGAAAGTGTCATTTTATCTCTAGCAACAAATTAGTATAATCAGAAATATAAAATTTGTTTAAATTATTAAATATGATAGTATTTTAATTTCAATACAATAATATAGTAAATATTAATTTGATAATTTTTTCATAAAGCTTGTCAATATTTTTCACCATTTTATGCTACTGAAATCTGTTCAAGGAAATGAAAATATGTCATGAACTATCTGTTTATTAGAAATTCTGATACTGTTTAATACAATTTTACTCATGACAAAATTTATCAATGCATAAATTTTATCTACGAATAATTATATTTTCAACTTATCTTTGATTTTTTTTTCTCCTCAAATCATAGATCTGGGGGTAAAAATCCACCTAGGCAATAGTGGAGTTCACACCTTGATTTGTACCAAAGAAACTGAGACTTTATGGAGGATTTTTTGTTTTGTTTTGTTTTTTGTCCACATTCATAGAGCTAGCTAGTAGCCAACTAGGACTCTTCTGATCCCAGAGATTAACATGAAGGAAAAACCAACTTATAAGATTGCAATGTTGACAGTTGCTACCAATAGAGGTGGCACTTATGTCTGTTGGAAGACTACTAATATGGGCAATAGAGATCTCCAAGATAAGAGATAGAATTTTCCATTTACGAAGTGTTTGATACCTCTAGTTTTTCTTTCTTTTTTTTTTGAGATGGAGTCTCGCTCTGTCACCCAGGCTAGAGTGCAATGGCATGATCTTGGCTCACTGCAACCTCTGCCTCCCAGATTCAAGAGATTCTCCTGCCTCAGCCTCCTGAGTAGCTGGGATTACAGGTGCTCGCCACCACACCTGGCTAATTTTTGTATTTTTTAGTAGGGACGGGCTTTCACCACCTTGGTCATGCTGGTCTCAAACTCTTGACCTCTTGATCCACCCGCCTCAGCCTCCCAAAGTGCTGGGATTACAGACATGAGCCACCATGCTGGCCACCTCTTATACACATTCCTTGTCATCTCTCAAAATTACACTCTGTCACCATCTCTGCAAAGTCTTATCTTCTTCCTCTTCTGCCCAGGTAAAGTTACCTACTCCCTCCCGCATACTCCCAGGGTACTTGTTAATAATTATATAATCACACTTACATGTGCTGTGATTATCTAGTTGTATATCTATTTTCTTGAATAAAAAATGAATTCTGGAAGGAAAGGCACTGAGACTTATTCATATTTGTTTTCCTAATATTTGGTACATTATTTAGTATTTAATAAGGGTTTGCTGAATGAAATGGAGTTTAAGTCTATAAATTAGTGTAAGAATTCTAGAAAGATTATGTGTAAAAAATTATAGGCTGTAAATAAAAGATAAGATCTGTAAGAGGAGTCTGTGGAAGCAACATCACCAGGTTATGGCAGCAAAGCAGGGTTAAGGAAAAACACAAAATAATTCTACAAGATTGAGATATGTGAGGGGTCTAGTGAGTGACTGAGATCAGAACAGATGAGGAGGAAATTAGACAACTTAAATCACAACCAAGGAATTTAGTCACAGGATTAAGGCCAAAACCAGTCCTCCAGGTGATGGAATCCTTGGCTAAAACCCATACTACAAAGCAGATGTTTCTCTTGAAAGCAGAATCCGTAAATGAAATAGATTAACACCTCCAGAAAACAAGAGTCAGTCGCATGAACTGGAAATGTTGTGTAATATAAGGATTTTCTAAGAAGCTAATCTTTATGAATGCATTTTTAGTCTCCCATCATAGCCAGCCCTACCACCTGAAAGCCAGAATCTGGGGACTAGTGAGATAAGGAAGGAAAAAAGAGATTCTAAATGCTTTCAAATGTATCTTAATATTGTATGGCCACCAACTCCTTTGAGATTTTGATTTTGTGAAAAATAACATATTCACAGTAATACATAATCTTACACTGAAAGTTCGGGGACTGTGGATCCTTCTCTGGCCATCCAAGTACTTCTATTCCTCTAGATAGAACTTTTGGAAAGAAACTGTAAGATAGCTGTAAGAAACTGTAAGAAACTTTTGGAAAGAAACTGTAAATATGGAAAAATTAAAGGTCACCTCTGCTACAGTTAAGTAGATTCACTCAGTTGTCCCATTCTATTGGTGACTTTTAATAAGTTTTGCTTATTCTTCATTCGTTTAATTTCCCAGAGGTGTCCTTTAAGCTGACGGGTTTACAGGCATGCACAAAAGTATAGACCTCAGTTACTAAATTTTTCTCATATTAAATTAAAGACAATTCATATCTAAAATATAGAAAATACAGGTATGCAAATAATTAAACAAGAAAAAATGTATTTTTTTATTTTAAAGCCTAATATATACTCTTTATTTTTAAAAAACTTAAAAAATAAAATGTCATTAGCTTTCCATTTGCTTTAAGAATAAAGTAGGTTTCTGGTTACAGCAATTTTTTTTAAATATCTGATCTTTTGTATTTATTAAAAGATTTTTTAGTTATGTTAAAAAATCCATAAAACACTAAGCCTACTTTGTGCATGATTTTTTTTATAATATAGAATTCACTGAGCCACCTAGTGAATAATTTTATATAACTGCTGATCATATTATATACAGATTACCTACTATATTGTCTCTGCTTCCATACTGTTTATTCCTGAAGGAAAGGTCTATGCTTCATTAACTATTTTATCAAAAGAAGTAGCACAACATCTATGGAGCTTAATGCATGTAACATCACAGAAATACAAGGTGTCACGTGTGTGAAGGGATGTTGCATGAAGGAGAGGAGGCAGATGTGTCAAAAAAGATACATTAGAGCTCCAAATGCCTTCATTGGTGCATTTGGATTTTTTGTGAGGCAATGGGAAGCTGCAAAAAGTTGTTTAAGTAGATATGCAAACAAAGTTTGTGTTTTAGAAAGAAAATCTTAATTGTATAAGAGATGAAAAACAAAGAATAGAAATAAGAAACTTGATAAGAGTCTATTAAAACAGTCTAGAGCCAACTATATGAAAACAAACTAGAAGAGTCTGAATAAAGAATGCCTGCACCAAGGCAATGAAACTGGGAAAGAGTAAGAAGAAACAATTTCCAGGAAAACAAAAAATGGATACACTGTGATTATGTGGAGTTTCATCCAGAAATGCAAGAATGGTTCAAGATTAGGAAATCTGTTAAGATAATTATATAAGTACATCAAGCCCTTGCTGTGTCCTTTTCTGAGAACACCCTCCTCACCCTCATATATTTTGAAGGCTCAAGCTCGCCCTCAGGTATTTGTTCTCATGTCCCCTCTGCAGAGAGGCCTTAATGGACTTCCCTTTCTAAAGGAGCACTTAGCATCTTTCTCTAACCCCTTATCCTGTTTATTTACCTACCTACTAGTAATTGCAACCTAACCCTATTTTATTTATCTTTTTATAACTTCTTCATTATCTATCTCCTCTACTGAAATGGTAGGTGCCTAAGAGCAGGGACTAGGACTCTTAATCATTGCTATATCACCAGCATTTAGAACAAAACCTGGCATCGTAAGTGCTCAAACTAGTTTTGAGTTACTGATGTGATTACCTTCATAAATGTTAAAAATATATCTGATGTAATTTCAGCACCTATTTTAAAAATAGAAATAGATGAGTACTTTTATCATTCTAAAAGTCAGCTTCATGCTTAATGAAGAAACGCTAGAAGCATTCCTATTAAAATTAAAAGCAGGAGTAAGGTAAGAATGTTCTTTGCTTCCACTCTCATTTTTTTTTTCTGGAGCAACTAGCCAATATAAGTTGACAAAGGAAAAAAGGTATTAACATTGAAAAGGAAAAACACAAGACTAGAGATGGAAAACTATTAAAACCAATAAGAAAACTTAACATTTCTGGATATAAAATTAATAGAAATCAATAATTTTCTTACATACAAGCAATAGCCAGTTGAAAGATAAAATGGAATAAAAGATCTCACTTTAAAATATGAAAAAGAATACTTATGAAGGGACCTAATTAAAATACATAGAAATCTATATAAAAATTCTTCAAACTGTTAGAATGACTGTGAAGACAAAGAGAACAAATGCAAAGGCATACTGAGTTTTAGAAAGATGTCTTACAGATATAAGTTATCCCTAAGTTAACCACAAACTTAAACTTATTCCAATAAAAATACTACCTTAGATTTTTTTAATTAAAAAACGGTAGAAAATATCTGTCTTTTTGAATAGGAAAAGGGTTCAGAGTGGAGATAAGCCCTACTGATAGTAACACATATGTGTCTTTTTCCCTTCATCTACATTCATTCTCTAGATTGTAATTTCATGATTTCAAATTCCATCTAATACCAATGATGCTCTTATTTATAAATGTAATTCTACAGTTTAGGATTCTTCACTGAACTCCATATTTGTATATGTAATTTTCCATTCAATACCCACTTTACTATCTAACAGGTATATTCATCTTACTTGTCCCTAATTGAGCTCTTAACATTTACCTACCCTCAATTCTAATCTTTCCATTATCTTCCTCATCTGAAATAATGACAAAAACATCCTTCCAGTTTTTCTGACTATACACCTTGTAGTCACCTTTCATACCTCACTCTCTTTCTCCAATCTATTATTCAATCTATCATCAAAAAATGTAGACTCCATTTTAGATATATAATGATAATTTGATGGCCTCATACTATCTCTACTATCATCATACTGGTCAAAGTCACTATTATTTATTTCCTGAATTATTGCAATTGCTTCCTGACTTTTACTGCATGATTCCACTTTTGCCTGCCTTCGCCTCTCCCTACTAGTCCACTTACCCTAATAGCCTATACTTAATACAGCAGTCCAGTGATCTTTGTTTTGCAGTTGGAATACTTAAGATAAAATTACTTCCTGAGATAAATTGGGAGGCAGATGACATTGCTAAGGAAATTGTAGCATTAAAAGAAGAAGTTAGAAGACTATATGTGTTGACTATTTTTGCCTGAAATTGGCAATGCACAAGAGGAAGTTGAGCTCAGTGAAGAATCGGCTCATTTTCCAGTAGATATAAAAGAGAACAGAGACAAGGCTATGGCCTTGTGGAGTTCACCAACAGGCTAGCTGCTTCTGGAGTCCAAATGGCAGGTGACAAATTCAAAAGTGACACAGCTCTACTAAATATTTCAGTTGAATAAAGTGATGTGGAAAATAGTGCATTAAAAGTGTGGTGCCAAGTAAAATTCAGTTAAAAGACCAAAGGCAAAAATCAGATCCAAGTTTGTGACCTTCTTATTATTGTTCCAGATAGCCTCATGGTAGCCACCACGAGTCTAGAGATAGATATATATATAGAGAGAGAGAGAGAAGACAGAGAACACGTGAGAGACAGCATGAGAGAACATGAAGTAAGACAATGGATGTGGATGTGGTTAATGCACTTGATATCCTAAAGTAAATTGATGAGATGGCTGTTACACTTTTTTTTTTTTTTTTTTTTTTGAGACGGAGTCTTGCTCTGTTGCCAGGCTGGAGTGTAGTCGTGCAATCTCTGCTCACTGCAACCTCTGTCTCCCGGGTTCAAGTGATTCTCCTGCCTCAGCCTCCTGAGTAGCTGGGATTACAGGCACACGCCACCACGCCCAGCTAATTTTTCTATTTTTAGTAGAGACGGGGTTTCAACATGTTGGCCAAGATGATCTCTATCTCTTGACCTTGTAATCCGCCTGCCTCAGCCTCCCAAAATGCTAGGATTACAGGCTTGAGCTACCGCGCCTGGCTGCCTGCTACACCATTGAATGAATACTGTGCCAAAGAAACAAGCTCAGATTTTTTAAAAGCCTTTGACTTTTTGAGACTTAAAAACAATGCTTATGCCCTCAAACTTCCATGAACAGGAGGAAGACTTTGAATTCTGTATAGTCTTCAAAGAAGCCAGGCTCCCAATATCCATCTCTGATGAGGGCAAGGAGATGCCTCCAAAATAAGAGAAACTAAAGCTACAGAA